>NC_000001.11:246032606-246184121 GCF_000001405.40 Homo sapiens
CCTAATTTGATAATTTCTACCATGAACTTTGGTGTCTTCTGTACTCATATTTGCTTTCTGCTCTTTTGAGGAAAAAAATCAGATACAATATTGTGACTATGAAATCATCTTCTCATTTTTAGTGATTCAAGGTCAGGTGAAAACAGAACCGTTAGTTTCCATTCCAAACACTGATACATGTAAAAGGTTATATACTTTAGCAGAGTCCTCACTGGAAAAGATGTAGATTTGGAGAGTTCAGGCAGACATGGGTTCAAGTACTGGCTCCACTACTTAACTAGTTATGTAATTTTGGGTATGTGAACTAACTACTCTAGGCTTTAATTTCCTCAAATGTATATAATAAGAATGATAATCATGAATGCTTTAGGGATCGCTGCAAGTTGCAAGCTAAACCTGCTAAATATGCAACTAGCATACAACCGAGCAATTTGCATTCCTGAGCATTTATCCCAAAGACATGAAAAACCATGTTCCCATAAAACCAGTGCATGAATGTTTACAGCAACTTTATTTATAGTAATAAAAAACTGGAAGCAACACAGATGTCCTTCAAAGGGTGAAAGGTTAAACTGTGGTCCATCCACACCATGGAATACTAATTGGTAATAAAAAAAAAACTAGGGATAAGGGCAACAACCTGGATAAATCTCTGGAGAGTTATTATCCTAAGTGAAAAAAAAACCCAGAAGGTTACACACTGCATTTTCTATTTATACAACTTTCTTGAAATGGCAACATTAGAGAAATGGAGTACAGATTAGTAGCTCTACAGGTTAAAGAGCGGTTGGGATGTAAGGAAAGTGAATGTATCTATAAAAGGGCAACGTGAGGAATTCTTGTGGTGATAGAAATGCCCTGTTTCTTGACCATATCAAATGTCAAAACATCAATGTTCTGGCCGGGTGCTGGCTCACACCTGTAATCCCAGCACTTTGGGAGGCCGAGGCAGGCGGATCACGTGAGGTCAGGAGTTCAAGACCAGCCTGGCCAACCATGGTGAAACCCCATCTCCATTAAAAATACAAAAATTAGCCAGGCGTGGTGGCGCGTGCCTGTAATCTCACCTACTCGTGAGGCTGAGGCACGAGAATCGCTTGAACCCAGGAGGTGGAAGTTGCAGTGAGCCAAGATCACGCTACCGCACTCCAGCCTGGGCAACAGAGTGAGACTCTGCCTCAAAAAAATTAATTAATTAATTAAAAAATAAATTAAAAATTTTTTTAAATGTCAGTGTTCTGGTTGTGATAGTTTTACAGTTTTGCAAGATGTTGCCATCTGAGGAAACTAGATAAAGGTTACAAAGTCCTCTCTGTGTTCTATCTTACAACTGTATATGAATCTATAATTATCTCAAAAATAAAAGGTTTACTTCAAAGAAATTAAAATAATCATATTTCAGAATATCACTGCAAAGATTAAATATATAGAATTGAGCAATAATTTAAAAATTATTACGTATATGAAAAATTGCCTAGCACAGACAGTTCTTGGCAATAACAGAAGCTCATTAAATGTTAATTTCTTTCCTCTAAGAAGTTGTACATAGACAGAATGCATCCTAGTAGATTTTTATTTGTGGATCAAATGAAGACGTAACTCCATGAAAGGGTCTGATCATAACATACACACTTTTTGGAACATTTAGCCTTTTTTTCCCTATGAATCTGAACTTTGAGGAAGTATTATTTCACGCTAAATAACATTCATCCACATTCCTACAGCAAAACTGTACAACTCAGGTGCCAACTAATTTCTTCCATCAAAAAATATGACCAGTGGAGCAGGTTGTAGGGGATTATGATCCAGTTGGTTAAGAGTCACAGTCAAAAAAGATGAATCAAGGCCAAAAATTAATTGGCATGCTCTTTTACAGACAATGAAGAAAGAACATGAAAAGAATAAAGCTTGGTTTCATGTGCTCAAGAGTTCACAGCTAGTTAAGACAGGAAAAGTCTCATATATGAAGACTCAGAGAACAAGTGGAGAACAGACCATCAGTGCAAAAAATCTGCAGAAGAGGTGGAGGTGAGCATGGCTGGGGGCAAATGAGTGCAGAAGAGGGAGGTGAGAGGTGAGCAAGGCTGGGGCAAATAAGGGAATTGGGGGCTGCTGGCTCCACACAGCACTGTCGGACTGCGTGAAGAACTGATGGCAGACGCACGACCTTGGCCTTCTGGAGGACCGCGGCAATCCTTAGTACTTTGCCGACGCTGCAATGTAATCCCACCTTTCCCAGAGTTCTCCATCCCCTGCTGCCAGATCCCTGCCGCACAAATTCGCTTGTATGAAGCTCCTGGCTACTTTATAAGTATACTTTATAAGAGAAAATACAGACACACAGACACCTTCCTCCCCCAATATATGCAGACAGTATGAAGCGTCATAGTGTTCCGGCCTCAAAAATAAAATTAGGAGGAAAGCCTGTGGCACAGCAAACGTCTCCCCAGCCTCCCACCTGACCCTACCCTTCCAGGTCACTGCCTCAGGAGATAAAATCACCCAGGAGGCCCTGTTTAAACTCAATTCTAAGTTAAGGCCTGAAAGGATCCATACACTGTCCAACTCTTTTTCATGCCAAAATTAATATAGTAAACATATCTTTGTTTCAGCAATCAAAACCTGGCAATTTGCCATGTCAACCCCCATTCCACAGCCACGTGTCTGAAGAACATATGCTTTCAGAATGGCGTTTATGATCTCAATGCCATCTTGCTGCAAGCCTTCCAGCTAGGATGTTCCCTGTAGTTGAAATAAACGGAAAGGAAGTTTCTGAGTTGAAGTAAACCGAAAGGAAGGAGGGTCACAGCCCCGCGGCACAGTTCCCAGGATGACTGCTGTGCCACTCACAAAATGAGCCTTTTGACTGACTCCAGCAGCAGGACGGGACTGTCGTTTCACGAGGTGAGCTACGGGCAGACAGATGTATCCGAATCGCATTAATTGGAACATCTTGTCACAGGATAAGAGAATTTCCATTTCTCTGCGGATGCCTGTATGCTACACATGGTATCTGGCAGGTGTGAGAACCTCGTCTTTGATTGCCTATATTCCCAATCTCCTTTCTTTGCCTATTTTCCTGCTGCAAAGCAATTACGGCTGAAAATCAGTCTGCAACATGCGCTCATCCATATTCAACTCTTTCCACTTCAGGCAAATCTTGCCCAGAAAAAAAATAATAAAAGAGAGAGACTTATAAATCCAGATTTGTCTTTTATTTTGATCCTCTGATTGTCCAGGTGTTTACTTGTTGATAATCCACCATTTTCTCCACATCAAAATAAATATTCTAAAGATGCAGCTCTAAACAACTAAAGCATGTACCTGTCTTAAGTGACAAGGAGGGATGACACACCTACAAAACTTTCAATAAATCGAACCAACAGATGGGAGCAGCCAGAACCAGTTGAAAGTGCAAATGACGGAGCATTTAAAAAATATACAGTGTCATTGATTTTAAGTATGTTGAAGAAAAAAATTTAAGAAACAGTACCTGGGACTTATACCAACAGGCCAAGGTTAAAATTGGGTTGAAGAGGAGACAGGGCTTCCTCCTGGAAGTCCTTCAAGTTATCATTTCACATTGGATTTGCCAATCAGCTTTTCAGATCTTATCTGATAATTATTGAAAGCCACAGGCAGGGACTAGAATTTTGAGATGTTTCTCAAATTTTCAGATGAAAGCTGTTTACCTGGCCCTTAAGGAGATTTTAAACTTATTTTAATCAGTATTCAAAAGACACAACAGGATGACCATCCCCCCATCCACCCCCGCAGTCTCCTTCTCCAGAGGCATCCAATTTCATCATTTCTTGGGATGTTATTTTATACATACACAAGAACATGCTTTATATCTTCCTTTTCTTCATTTTTTACACAAATAACCATAAACTACACATCCTATTTTATTTTCTCTGTACTCTTCTTTCTCTCTTTTTTTTTTTTTTGTTTTGTTTTGTTTTTTTGAGACGGAGTCTCGCTTTGTTGCCCAGGCTGGAGTGCAGTGGTGCGATCTCGGCTCACTGCAAGCTCCACCTCCCGGGTTTACGCCATTCTCCTGCCTCAGCCTCCTGAGTAGCTGGGACTACAGGCGCCTGCCACTAAGCCCGGCTAATTTTTTTTTTTTTTTTTGTACTTTTAGTAGAGATGGGGTTTCACCATCTTAGCCAGGATGGTCTCAATCTCCTGACCTCGTGATCCGCCCGCCTCGGCCTCCCAAAGTGCTGGGATTATAGGCATGAGCCACCACGCCTCGCCTTTTATTTTATTATCATCATTTAGTTATGAAAGCCAAAGCTGAGACAAATTCTCTGTACTCTTAATGGCATAACTGAGCGTTGATTTCATATGAGGACACAAAGAGCTTCCTCATCGTTTTTTATGGCTTCAGAGAATTCCCTTGAATGGATGTAGCATAATTTATATAACCAGTTCCCTACAGATAGACATTTAGGTTATCTCCATTGTATTCCTATTACAAACAAGGTTGCAATAAATAACCTTACACATAGGTCATTTCATGTATTAGCTAAAGTATCATGTATTAGCTAAATTCCTATAAATGTAATTGCTGAGTCAAAGGATATATGAATTTATAATTTTGAAAGATATTACCTTCATATATACATATCTGTATCTATATAGTACCTGTTTCCCTATACCCTTGCCAATACAAGGTGTTAACATTCTGCTGTTTGCCAATCTGATAGGTTAAAAGTGACATTTCAGTATCATATTCATTTGCACTGCTCTTATTATGAATGAGCTGAGGAGCTTTTCATCTGTGTCATAGGAAGCTCACCCCTGAGGACAGCATCACCTGGACTCCCTCCTCTGATAACTTCTGGGAGGCACTAGCAGGAGGTTAGCAGGTGGAAGGAGAGATATCTTTCCCATTTCCATCCTGCTTCAAGGACATATTTCTCACAGTGGCTACATCCTCCATGATCACAGCCTTCTTCGGATGACCCATCTTTCCTGCTCCGGCAATGCCGTTCTCTCTCTTTGTCCCTGCCTTCAATCCCAGGGATAGTAATAGCTTCCCACATTTGCAGGTCTCCGAGCGTCACAATGTCATTCCCTTTTTGTCCCCAAAATCCTGCCCTCACCTCTGTAAGTTGCCCCATTTGGGGAGAAGAAGCATTTGTGGAGAAACCTGTTTGCTATTGCTTTGTTTTCCTGAGACACTAACAAACATATCTCCTGCCTATTTTTCTACTGGTTTGTTGGTCTTTTCATATTGATTTGTAGTTGTAGCAACTCCTTATTCATCAGAGCAAGAGTTGGCAAACTTTTCTGTGAAGTGCCAGATAATAAATACTGTTGGTTTTGTGGACCATAAGGTCCCTGTTGCAGCTATTCAATTCTGCCACCATAGGGTGAAAGCAGCCACAAACAATATGCAAACAAATGAGTGTGGCTGTGTTCTAATAAAACTTGATTGATAAAAACAGGCAGCAGGCCAGATATGGGCCTTGGGCTGTAGTTCCCAACCCCAGCATTAGGGAAATTATCTTTTCTCTGAGATATAAGCTGCAACTATTTTTCTCCCAGTTTAGTTTTTTACTTGTCTTATAGTGGCTTTGCCATGCAGAGTTTTAAAGATCTCTTATTTTACGTAGTGGAATTTATCCGTAATTTATGGCTTCTAGTTTTTATGTCAGAGGGAAAGCAAAGAGTTAGTAAAACCACAGGAAACTCAAAGAGGAAAGACTGTACCTTAAGCTAGTCAGACCATGCTACCACCAAGAGTCTTCTTAATGAGACAACTACTCATCCTTCTAAGACAGAATTATCAAAAACTCTTTCTTAAAAAGCAAACGAACAAATGAAAACTTTCGACGGAAGGCTGAGACACAAAATGGAGCGAGCATCCTGGTGGGAGCCAGGACGTACCTATCCACATGTGCCTCGGGTAACTCTCAGGCCACTGTATTCTAGACGTTAAAAAACACTTCTCGACACAAATACGAATCCTATCAAAAGAAAATTAGAAAAGTGTTTTCTAGGTGATCGCTGTATAAAAATTTCACAAATCACCCATTCTATCAGGCTTTGCCTAGCTCCAACATCTTTCCGACATCAGTGACATGGGGGCATCTGTTAGAGTTCTTACAACTAGGGGATCTCTCGGGATTTCCACTTCATACTCATTCTTCTGTTCCTGCATGACTGTGCTCCAGGGTCTAAAGGCTCCTAGCCTTAGTTTGTAATGAATTTAGTTTTTGCATTCTATAAATTTAAAACAAATATCTTTGTGGAAATTTTGTAAGTAGAAACAGGGAAAGTAAAATGTTGCCAATTAAAATACATGTTATTTGCATAAAATAGGCAAGACTTTCAGGAAAAAAACACTGGGGAAAGGATGGGAAAAAGAACAAACAAATAAACAAAAATTGGCCGTTCAAGTCTCTACCAGAGTTTAATATTTTAAAGTCACAATTTCCTTTCCTTGTTTTCTCCTACCATGGAGAAGCAGACACAGTTATAAGTGAAGGAACAAAACATAGACCGTGGAAATTTGGAGGTTTCAGCATGGATTTGCATCCTAAAAAATACAAATAGCAATGTGTAATAACAATTTAAAATCTCTCTTGTTGAATTACAAAAATTATCCTGGCAATTGTAGTCGGTTGCTCTGTCCTGACCAAAACAAAGTTATTCATATTTATATGCCCTCATCCCCATATACATGCATATTGAGATGTATATTTTATTTATATGTTCATCTAGATGTAAACATAGGTATATGCAGATATGCACCCACCACACTTCACTATACTGTCTACAACATGCATATTAGAAAATGTGTATTTACCGAAACCAACATATAAAACCAAAGTGGCAAAGGCTTTGGGGAATAAGAAAGACACAGCTCTGTAATAAGTCTAACACCTGTGAATGATCTGTAGCAGCCTTCGAAATGTGGGATTGCTGTATCCCTCAAACTGATACTACAAACTGAGATTTCATGTCTCCATTTACACAAATTGATTCCATAAATTCTACTAAGCGCCAATGGGTAAGACTCACAGCATGTGAGATCAAAAGAGTAGGAGTAACTGGCGACAGTTTAGTTGAGCCACAAGATGACAAACATCAGTCACAGGGTAGTAAGGAGGGGAGAATCATCCAGAGAAAAGCCGTGGAGAGGCGTTTTCTCAATTGATTAGGTCATGCTGTAATGGAGCCAAGGGCGCAGGTTCAGTACTCTCTGCCAATGACCTATATTGTATTTCAAAGACACAGACCAGGCCCAATAGTTCTCAACATCTTGCCACTAGATCAAAAGGGATATGAGAAGAAGAGTGGCTAAGCCCAAGCTTATTTCAAGTACTAGAAAAGTAACAACATTAACGCAGCATTGATTAGTACCATTGTCTTAGCGTAAGTTACAGTTAACGTCCGACATGATCTGTGATGTAATAGAATTAAGTAAGACATTTCTCCCGGCTAGTATTAAACTGTATTTATTCAGTCAACCTTACAAGATCCTATCATGAAACAGAAATAGCATTCACTTTTCAAATAGCTGTATTCTAACACGTGGTTTGCAATTAATATTGGGCTGTTTTGGATATTTCCTGTATTACATATACAACCGGGATATTAATAACAACAAAGATGAAAACAGAAGAGGATTTATGTAGCTCCGGAGGGGTTCAATAAGTAGGAACATGACCCGGATTCAAGCTTCCTGGCACAGACACCCCACCATCACAGCTTATTCAGAAATTAAATACTTGTGCTTCGCCACCACAAACGCAAGTGCTGCCGCTTATCTTTTTTCTCACGAAAATGTGACCTTGGGCTCAGAATGGTGCTGACCCAACGTCTCACTTCTCTTAGAAGAAGTATCTCAATGAAGCTGATGCTGCCGTCTGAGCACTGCTTTCTCGTAGGAATTTGCCAAATTAACCCAAAATGCAGCCAGCCACCAAACAGAGAAACAATTTAAGTTTAGCCACGTGGGGATAAATCCTTCTGGATGTCAAGGTCCTCAGCTGGGGCTTATATTAAACCAGTAGTTACCGACTCCATTCCCCAGAACAAAATGACTCATGGGGCTCCCGTATCTCCTTTCATTTGAAAAGGTGCTGAGGTGGTAAAATATTCTGAAAACTCCTGTAGTCATTGATTCCTCAGTTCTTATAGAGCGCTAGAATTTTGTGGTCTACATGTCACTGATTGTAACACATCTTAATATTTGCTGCTTAGAAATATGTTTGAAAATCATGTAAAATATCGCACAAATAGCAAATAACTAGAAGATAGATGGTTGTGTCTTTTTCCCTCTCTGATATATATAAATTCTCCAAGAACCACATGGTAGAAAAAAGACAGATATATAGTCACGCACTGCATAATGACATTTCAGTCAAGGACAGAACACACATACAATGGTGGTCCCATAAGATTATAATACTGTATTTTTACTATTCCTTTTCTATGTTTAGATACACAAATACTTAACCTTGTGTTAAAATTGCCTCAGCATTCAGTACAGTAACATGCTGTTCGGGTTTATAGCCCAGGAGCAAGAGACGATACTTCACAGCCCAGGTGTATAGTGGGCTATACCATCCAGGTCTGTGTAGGTACCTCTATGATGTTTGCTCAGCTATGAAGTTGCCTGAAGATGCACTTCCCAGAAAATATTCCCACCCTTAAGCAACACACGCTGGACCCACCATCCTGAGGGTGGAAAGAAGCTCTTTAGAGTCCCCACAGAGTGAAATGACTTCATGTTTCTCACTCTCTCTCCTCAGTGCGGACTTCAAAATAAAAATACTAATCATCAAAAGACAAAATTCTGCATATGCTGAAACCTACATAACAGCATTCTGAAGTTTCTAATAGTAAGTTTCTTATTAGCTTGTCCCAAGTTAAACTTCTTTTGTGAAAGGAAAGTCTCTGTGTGTGTGTGCCTGGGCATGTATCCCAGTGTTGCCAGGGCCCTACGTCGTATGCACACGATAAGTCCAAGACCTGTAGTGGGTAAACTCAGCAATGTTCATACTCTCTAAGTAGGTAACGCTAAAGGAAGAGAGAGAAAAACATTCATAGCCTGAGTGATCACATAAACTGGGTATATCAGAAAAATCATGACTTCTGGTTCTGGAAGAGAATTGGAGGGGGTATAACCTCTCTTCCAATGGACGGACTCAGAGTTATACCTAGCTCAATCTAGATGGTATGTAATCTTTATTGGGAAAAAAAAAAAGGGTGACTAAATACATACGCTTTAATCATAATTTGTATTCCTAGATGAAACTACCAATAAAAATTGCTACCTGCGTATTTCCTGGGCCCTTATGAGGTACACTCTGAAACACTTTTTCTAACACTCTCCACCACAAAATTGGTTTTATTGCTTTCATTTCATAGTTGAGAAAATGATGGATTCAAAAAGATTAAGCAATTTGTTCAAGGTCTTATGACTGATAAGTCACATTTTGAGGATGGGACCCCAAGTCCATTTGATTTGAATGCCCATAATCCTCTAACTGCAGAAAGCTTCAAGTTTTCTGTGTGTTCTGGAAGGCACAGCTACAAAGAAAAGCTAATATTTCCCTCTAAATTCTACCTTTATATAGCTCATCATTTGAATTTATAACACTCTCCAGCAGTAACAAATACTTACGTTTCTCTGGATTCACAGATATATACTAAATATTTTAAGAATGGAGAGAAACTAAGATTGGAAACAAATTAATATGACAGGAAAAAAACTGTGGAGGAAAATCCATGGGAACGTATAAGAATATAACTGTAATTCAAGAGCCACATACTCAGGGTTTGTAAAAATTCCTAACTGCAGATTAAGCAGTGAGGAGCTCAGCACCTTCCACAGGTTCACACTCCAAGCCACGGAGCACTCAGTGGCACCGGTCTGCTCTTTGGGAACACCGTTCAATTACCTCTCTCCATGTAAGGACTTCGCATTATTAGTGAACCGATTCTAACACAGGAACCTCCTATGATGTCTTAAGTTCAGAATATTTCTCCCTGATCACCCCAGAAGAAATCAGAGCTGCGTTAATCAATCATTCTCTTACACGGTTTCCTTTGTATAGAACCACTTTGCACCCTTTTTGGTAAGTTACCTCCTTCTTAATCTTCAGGACTAAGCTCAACACACACTTCAAAGCCTTTCTGAACCCATTCTAGTATGGCTGCCCTGTTTTGTCTTCCCCCAACCCCAGAAACCCTGTATTTACCTTCAACAAAGCTTTGACCACACATTCTCTGCTATGTTTTTTACTGGAGATTAATTTTTTACTCATTTTGTTGAGGCTATTTCCAGGGGCTCTGAATAGTGGCTACTCTTAATAAATACGTAAATATACTCTTAGGGATAAATGAAAAATCAAATGGTCCGAGTGGCCTAACACAATTTCCAGAACACACTGGGAAATGTTTGTCTCTTTTTTCAGCCATTGTCACTACTTCTTTATCCCCACCTCTATCTACACATAAATAAACACATGCCAACACCTGCACTTAAGTATGCACATGTACACATATACACAGCATCGATTACTCCATGGATTAACTCTGCTTCATCTACTACCTTTCATGTAAAAACAAGACAAAGGAAGAAATTTAAGAATTTATGATATTCACACAAAATCACATAATCTACCAAAGTCTCCTCATGCATTGCCTTTATTCAGACTAATATTTACTGAGCACACAGTACTATGTAAAGCAGTAGAAGCCAATCAATTAAAATGCTCATATGTTCTGAACATAAAATGCTTCAACACCCACTACAGACATTCAGAAAGATCCAAAAAAGCAAAATTAAGTCCTGCCCATATTGAAACTATATCTTGAGATAGAACCAACACAACCAAAACAAGGTGACTATTTTAAGATGAGGAATGGCTGGGAACACAGGAAATAACCCAATGGGACATGAGTGTGGCTCTCAGCCTTTGGACAGATCATGTGACAACAAATAAACACACACGTTCTCCTGCAGGGCATAGGTTTCTGGTGAAGAATCAGTGGTGACTTGGAGCAAGACACCAGATGATAATTTGATAAATGCTGTTTACCTTTAAAATGTGATTAAACAGCATTTATGATGAACATGCTCAGCCAATGATGAATAATATGTGCAGTCAAGCACAACAGAAAGTAATTGTCTGAGGAGGTAGTTCTTCCCTGGCAGCTTCCCAAAGCTCTCACAGCGTGCCTTCCCCTTCCTCCCAAACACTGGAGTTGGAGTTAGAGCCCTGCCAGAGGAGAAAACCTGGCTACAGAGAGTGGACTGGATAATGACTCGCACCAACAGTTTCGGGGATCTCCAGGTACAGGGAAGCCTGTTCGCACATTCACCTTTAGGAATATTCAGGACTCGCTCTACCTGCTGCAGTGTCCGCACGTGGTTCCTGGTGTGGTTTATTTTTCTCTCACACCTCAGTGAGGTTCTTTCACAGCCTCTTTAGTCTAAGATTTCAATTTTTAAAACGGAGAGAGATCATTCCACAAAATATTATATATTCCAGTTTTCTTCTAATTCAACAGTTCTACGAATAAAGACCAACTTGAACTGATTCACAGTGCATTTTTATAAATTAAGAGGAGTTTCTGTGCAAAAAAAAATTCATTACCTCAATTTAGTTCTCAGTGCAAATTATAATGATTCCTGGTTCAATTTATAGAAAATAGTTTAAACAACTCCATGTCCATACACACCAAAATAACATGTTCTGGGTAAGATACACAGGTGTTCATACAGTAAACATGAGAACTCCATGTCAAATGGAGATATCGCATGATGTCTATTTTACCTTCAGAGAAATGTGCACAAACTGGGTAATGATGATGCCAGTACAAGAACTTGCAAATAAATGGGTTGTTTGGGCAAGAAATTTTGTAGGTACGTAAAACCAGAACTAATTTATAGATCAGTCAGGCTCCGTCTCATGCTTGGCAGAGAGGCTAGAGGTCACTGGTCACTGAGGAAAAAAATGCTTACAAACTGATTTCCAGCCCAGTTAGCAATTTTACCAGAACTCTTTATTCTATCAAGGCTGCAGAAGAGAGGTAATGAGGTCCCATATGTACAGGTGTGCAACAAATTAGGTCAATAAATATGTCTGTTAAAAATACTTAAATAGGAAAGGTAAAAATTACTTAAACATGATAAGAACCATTCAGCAAAATTCAATAGCAGACTTAATGCTCAGTGGTGAAGTGTTAAAGCCATTTTTATTAAAATGACAAACTGGACTAGGATAACCATTATTGACTCTTTATAAAATATTGCTTTGAGAGTATAAAATACCTAGGAATCCAACTTACAAGGGATGTGAAGGACCTCTTCAAGGAGAACTACAAACCACTGCTCAACGAAATAAAAGAGGACACAAACAAATGGAAGAGCATTCCATGCTCATGGATAGGAAGACTCAATATTGTGAAAACGGACATACTGCCCAAGGTAATTTATACATTCAATGCCATCCCCATCAAGCTACCAATGACTTTCTTCACAGAATTGGAAAAAACTACTTTGAAGTTCATATGGAACCAAAAAAGAGCCCGCATCACCAAGTCAATCCTAAGCCAAAAGAACAAAGCTGGAGGCATCATGCTACCTGACTTCAAACTATATTATAAGGCTATAGTAAACAAAACAGCATGGTACTGGTACCAAAACAGAGAGATAGACCAATGGAACAGAACAGAGCCCTCAGAAATAATGCTGCATATCTACAACTATCTCATCTTTGACAAACCTCACAAAAAGAAGAAATGGGGAAAGGATTCCCTATTTAATAAATGGTGCTGGGAAAACTGGCTAGCCATATGTAGAAAGCTGAAACTGGATCCCTTCCTTACACTTTATACAAAAATTAATTCAAGATGGATTAAAGACTTACATGTCAGACCTAAAACCATAAAAACCCTAGAAGAAAACCCAGGCAATACCATTCAGGACATAGGCATGGGCAAGACTTCATGTCTAAAACACCAAAAGCAATGGCAACAAAAGCCAAAATTGACAAATGGGATCTAATTAAACTAAAGAGCTTCTGCACAGCAAAAGAAACCACCATCAGAATGAACAGGCAACCTACAGAATGGGAGAAAATTTTTATAATCTACCCATTTGACAAAGGGCTAATATCCAGAAACTATGAAGAACTTAAATTTACAAGAAAAAAATCAACCCCATCAAAAAGTGGGCAAAGGATATGAACAGACACTTCTCAAAAGAAGACATTTATGCAGCCAACAGACACATGAAAAAATGCTCATCACCACTGGCCATCAGAGAACTGCAAATCAAAACCACAATGAGATACCATCTCACACCAGTTAGAATGGCGATCATTAAAAAGTCAGGAAACAACAGGTGCTGGAGAGGATGTGGAGAAATAGGAACACTTTTACATTGTTGGTGGGACTGTAAACTAGTTCAACCATTGCGGAAGACAGTGTGGCAATTCCTCAGGGATCTAGAACTAGAAATACCATATGACCCAGCAATCCCATTACTGGGTATATACCCAAAGGATTATAAATCATGCTGCTATAAAGACACATGCATACGTATGTTTATTGCGGCACTATTCACAATAGCAAAGACTTGGAACCAACCCAAATGTCCATCAATGATAGACTAGATTAAGAAAATGTGGCACATATACACCATGGAATACTATGCAGCCATAAAAAAGGATGAGTTCATGTCCTTTGTAGGGACATGGATGAAGCTGGAAACCATCATTCTCAGCAAACTATCGCAAGGACAGAAAATCAAACACAGCATGTTCTCACTCATAGGTGGGAATTGAACAATGAGAACACTTGGACACAGGAAGGGGAACATCACACACCGGGGCCTGTCATGGGGCGGTGGGAGTGGGGAGGGATAGCATTAGGAGATATATCTAATGTGAATGATGAGTTAATGGGTGCAGCACACCAACATGGCACATGTATACATATGTAACAAACCTGCACGTTGTGTGCAGGTACCTTAGAACTTAAAATGCAATAAAATATATATATATAAAATATATATATTTTATATATTTTTTTAATATATATATTTTGCTGATGTAAGAAGAAATTTTATATACATATATGTAGCAGGTGATCTTTATTTACAGATAAGATTACATAATTTGAAAATCCAACTTTAATAAAAAATCCAACTCTAATAAGAGAATGTACTTAGATACAAAGATGTAAGACAAATATACAAAGAAATCATTAGTTTTCTCTGTACCAGAGATAAACAGCTAGAAAATCAAATGAAAAATATTTTATAAAAAGTAGCAACTTATATCAAATGCCACACAGTATAAATTTAACAACAAAATATATATAAACTCTATATAACAAACAGAAAATATTATTGAAAGATATAAAATACCATATGAACAAAAAGATAAACATATGTTCCTGAAGAGGAGGTTACTTTCTTAAAATGTCATGCTTTCTAAACTTAATACATACATTTAATTCCATATATTCCAATTAGAATCCAGTGGTATTTTTTCTTCTCCAACTTGGTAAAGTAAGTTTAAAGCTCATTTGCAATAATGTCCATACAGAACAGTAAAGAAAAGTGTGCAAAAGAATAGTGGGAGTGGAATTGTCTTGCCAGATACCAAACTTACTACAAACCATGGGGAAAAAGAAAAGAAAAGAGAATGATTCTAGAACAGGGACAGAAAAGTTGAACAATTAACCAGATAGCACAGAAAAAAGCCAAGTGTTATGATAACTTTAAGCCAAGTGTTAAATCACTCAATTGTGACTTTTCAATTGAGTGGGGAAAAGAACCATTTGTATAATAAAAAGGCATTAGCATATGTGCATCTCCACCTGTGGAAAAAAGAAAGCTGGATTGTATTACCTCAAAGCATACACAAAAGAATTTCTAGATAGACTAAATATCTCAATCTTAAAAATTATTCACCAGCCTGGGCACAGTGGCTCATGCCTGTAATCCCAGCATTTTGGGAGGCTGAGGGAGTAGATCATTTGAGCCTATGAGTTCAAGACCATCCTGGGCAACATGATGAAACTACATCTCTACAAAAAACACAAAAAAATCAGCCAGGCATGGTGGTGTGTGCCTATAATCCTAACTACTCAGAAGGCTGAGACAGGAGGATCGCCTGAGTCAAGGGAGGTCAAGGCTACAGTGAGCCATGATCCTACCACTGTACTCCAGCCTGGCAACAGAGTGAGACCCTGTAGCAGAAGGAAAAAAAAAAAAATGTGAAAATAATTATATAGCTTTGATATAAGCAAAGATACCCACGACAGGAAACCCACAGGGCATTTTTTAAAAAAACCTACATAGTCATATTCCAGTGTAAAAAATGTAAAATTTGTTAGTAACTGAAGTCAAGAGACAAGTGACATCCTAGCGAAAATATCCGTAAAATGTTGAACAAAGTGTTGATGTCACAAAGAACACCTATAAATCGATAAGGAAAAGACCAAAAATTCACCATGAAAATGAAAAAATGAATAGTACACGTGAATCACAAAAAAGGAATTGCAAATAACCAGTATATAAAATGGTCTTCAACCTCAAGAACATGCAAACTCACGTTAGTTAACACTATTTACCCAGTAGATTGGAAAAATATTTCATTTCAAGCATTTCACTGGTAAAATACATTGTGGGTGAAATTATAATCCATTACAAACAATATTTCTTGGGGAAATTTGGCAACACCTTCTAGAATATAAAATTCACGTGGCCTTGAAGAAAAGAAAATTCTACTTTGAAGAGCCTTTTCAGTCAAAATAAAAGGGCCAGTGTGCAAAGCTGTATGCACTAGAATGTCTATCGCATATTTTAGTGACAAAAAAGTAAAAATACTGGGTCCATTAATGGGGCATGACTGAATATATCACATTACAGCCATTTCTACGGAACATAATGCACACATTATGCAAAAAAACTGTATTTTGCTGCAGTGAGATGTAATATAGTATACAGTAGTAAGGGCTCTAGAGGATGGAAGCCCGACAGCCCATTCCAAGTCTGGGCTTCACCACTTCCTAACCTTGTGAACTTCAGCAGCCTCCTTAAGTTCTCTGGACCCGTTTCCTCATCAGCAAACAGGGAGAATGATAGCAACTTCACAAGGTTATTGTAAGGCTCAAATGAGATAAAGTATTTAAAGCAAAAAAAAAAAAGTGTTCTTAAAATCAATTTCAAGAAAATTAAGTCACAAAGTAATGTCTGTTGTGGGATTCCTTTTTTGTCAAGATAACAGATCTTATCTCACTTACCATTGCCTGAACAAACCAGGACATTGTCCATCTGGGATGGTTTTTGTCCAAACAGGAGGCGATAGTTATTAATTAAGGAAGCGAGACTGGGTTTGGACTGTGGCATACGACGAGAGGATTTGGCTAGTTCTTAGTAAAAGGAGACCATAGCAGGCATGCAGCATTATGTACAGATGCCCTAAGAGACTGAGAAACAAGGAAAATGGGGTTGGAGGCATTTTGAGGGGAGGAGCAAGTGTGAGCATGAGCCCAACCCTGAGATCCTTCAAGAGCCCAGTTCTAGTTGCAGGCCACAAGTATCCTGACAATAAACGACTCTGTGCTTCTTAGACTCTGCAAGGGGAAGACTTATCAAAGCCACCTCACAAAAAACAGAGTCGTTAAATATATACTATGTGTTTTTTTTGTTTGTTTGTTTGTTTGTTTTGAGATGGAGTCTCGCTCTGTCGCCCAGGCTGGAGTGCAGGGGTGCAACCTCAGCTCACTGCAAGCTCTGCCTCCCGGGTTCACGCCATTCTCCTGCCTCAGCCTCCCCAGTAGCTAGGACTACAGGCGCCCGCCACCACGCCTGGCTAATTTTTTTTTTTTTTTGTATTTTTAGTAGAGACGGGGTTTCACCGTGTTAGCCAGGATGATCTCGATCTCCTGACCTCGTGATCCGCCCATCTCGGCCTCCCAAAGTGCTGGGATTACAGGCGTGAGCCACCGCGTCCGGCCCATACTATGTGTTTTAAACACAAAAAACACAGTATGTATTTAACAGACGTCAACTGCGCTGTGCCAGTTCAGCTAGGCTAGGCTTCTGCCTGTAACTGAAAAACAAACTAGCATTTCAAGTAAAATGAGTAAAAAATATAAAAACACATTGTAAATTATCATTTTCTAATACTTAAGTCAGCTTATGAGATTCCTCCCACACCTACTCAGTGGCTCACAAACCCTCGGAAGGAAGAAGCACTGCATAACCCATCTCAATGTTTCAGTCATTACTTACCACTTCAATAGCCCACTAATAAACAGTGGTTTCCACCAAGATAAAATATACAAATTTTTCAATAGACGTAGTAAATACTGAACAAAAGTAAACAGAAGTTGACTATAATATCAAAAAGCAGTACCATTTAGTATTAGTCTGAAAGCAACTAGTGAACGCATTAATATAACCAACAAACAACCTTTCACGAAATACTTAGAGATTAGGGCCATAAACTACAAGCTAGTGTTCTTTTCACTTTGAAATGAAAGATCAGAGGTTCCATATAGGCCTTAATTAGACTCATAGTCTAGAATTTTTCTTTCTTTCTCTAATTAAGAGGATCACGCAAAAACACTGAAGTAGTAGTGCCAAGATGATTCCAGCCAGGTAGCCCAGTGCAACACACACAAAAATAGTTCACAGAGATAATGTTACCCAATTATGAATTCAGAGAGACTCAATGTACAACATATTTCTTAAGACACAGCTACAAGACAGAGAGTAGGGCATCATCCATAAAAGGTTGGGCAAAAGATGAGGGCCTCAAAGCCAGGCCAAACTGGGTGGTTTTTCACCTAGAATAATATAAGGTAGTCTGCCTAGAGGAACAATCTCTATCACTGTTGAGGAAGAAAGCCAAGGTATATAAATGAAGAAGAGGTTCTAAGTGTCAGGTCCAACGTAAATGGTGAGGTCATAAAAAGCAAAAGGAATTTCTAGGCCAGACATGATGAAGATGAGAAATTAAGGGGTATGAAGATAACAAATTGGGTCTTTGTAAGCAGGTTAGAACTAAAATGGTGAACGCTGAGACTGCCGGAAGATTTTTGTTGTGTTGTACCAGTTGGATAGTGTGTTTGTTTGATTATGCAGGTGCACACATGTATATAAACAAGCTGGGAGGTAGCGAGCTCCTCCCAAGAGGAGGTGTAAGTTTCATGGCTTAAAGGAGTCAGGCAAAACCAATGTTCCACCTAATATTAACTATCAAATTATATTTTAATATTGTCCCTTACTGAATAACAATTCAGGATTGCTTGGGACCAATAGTAAACTGATTGAAAAAATTATCCAAATGGGGATAAGCTATGAATGTTACTAGGATCATATGATGAGAGGTAAAAGGATGGGCAAATTCAAGGCTACAGACACAACTTGATTCAGAAAATATGAAATTACGAAGAGGAAGACATACCAAGTACTATTCTTTGGAAAGATGAGATGTTTGTTAAGCAGAGCTTAATATTAACTTCTTTTTTTTTCTTACTCCTTTTTTTTTTTTTTTGAGACAAGGTCCCACTCTGCCACCCAGGCTGGAGTATAATGGCGCAGTCACAGTTCACTGCAGCCTCCACCTCCCAGGCTCATCACCTCAACCTCCTGAGTAGCTGGGACCACAGGTGTCTCCCACTATACCCAGCTAATTTTTATATGTTTTGCAGAGACAGGGTTTCACCACATTGCACAGGATGGTCTCGAACTCCTGAGCTCAAGCAATCCACAAGCCTCTGCTTCTGAAAGTGCTGGGATTATAGACATGAGCCACCTCACCCAGCCAATATTAACTTATTTTTTAATATAACAGACTAGGGAGTAACACAGAAGTTGGTCCTCATATCTAAAACAGAGTAAAAATACTCTTGACTATTTACATTCAAATAATGTAACTAAGACTAACATGAGTCACTTTCCGTTTTCCAATCAATTTATAGATTAAATGCTTATACCTGACACCAGAAAAAAATAGCAATTAAACTGTAGGCCATAAAATTAATTTCTTCTGCAGTACAAAAAAAAAAAAGAAAAATGTAATTTCATTTCTTTTTGACCTAGATTATGCCAATTGCATTAGATGTTTTATTTCCCATATGTATCAGAATGTTCAAATAGTATATAGGCTACTAAAAAGAATCATTCCCAAATGGTACTCTCCCCAAACAACAAACTTCTCTTATTAATCATGCTGAAACTGTATGCTTACAAAAAAAGTGAGCAAAATTGGAAGCAAGAGCCTTCCAAAATTAAATGACCAACTAAATCAGATAGGCAGATTTGAATGTTTTTTAATCAGGCACTGCTGGCATGATCACAACATTTAAAATACCCAAATGATTCTACATAAATCTAACTCATCATCTTTCTTACAAAAAGTCCAGAGCTCTAATGAAGTCCATAATGATCTGGATAAAATACACTTAATTAGATTATAAACTGCAACATAAAACGGCTGCATCATGCCTTTTAACATTTTTCTCTCTGAAGATCAGAGGATTGAAAGGGGGTTATAAAACAGCCCATTCATTTTTCTTGTCTTTTAAAGGAAGGAAAAAACCATTAGGCAGAACTAAAGTTCCAGACAACTTTTAACAAGTGACATCCAAGTAGGTCACATTCTTAGACCTCCTCAGAGATGCAGGGAACGATGATGGGGTCAGGTGACCAACACATCAATGGGACGGCATGTGATCAGACAACTCTGGGGAATGCTAATGATTTCCTATGTGATGCTGATAGTACAAGATGTACTTTATGCTTGATGATATCTAGATGAGATAGATAACAGGAAAAAAAAACCAAGGCTAATTAAAATGCATTTCAAAGATAATCCTAACATGATTTTCTAATAGTACGCAAGTCCACTGTGAGTTTGAGATGGTGAATTAAAGACGAATCTATTCATCCACAGATACATCTATCCACTCATACAATTTATGTGTTTATTTTTGGTTGAGGGAGACAGGAGGTGAGAAACAAGCATGCAACAATTGCTAAAAATGTCTTTAAATATTTATCTACAGAATTCTCAAATGTGTTATCTTGACTACTAGAGACTAAGAGCATGGCCTTTGGAGTGACCAGATCTCCTTTGAATCCCAGTTCCAACATTTGTTGGCTCTGTAACGCTCAGGTGCAGTTATGACATCTGAACACAGTGAGAACAATCCATGTTCAGGAAGTAATTATGGGAGATTAAGTGTAAGGCACTTTGTACTTTGCCTGTCCTAGAATAGGTGTTGCATACATTAAATCACAATCAAAACAGACAAGCACATTTGGGATAAACTAAATAAGATCTCTAAATAAATGAAAGGGCCAGCCTCAGTGGCTCACGCCTATAATCCCAGTACTTTGTGAGGCTGAGGCAGGAAGATCGCTTGATACCAGGAGTTGAAGACCAGTCTGGGCAACATGGCAAGACTCCATCTCTAAAAAATAAAAATAATAATAATAATTAGCCAGGCACGGTGGTATGCACCTATAGTCCCAGCTACTGGGGAGGCTGAGATGGGAGGATCGCTTGAGCCCTGGAGGTCAAAGTGAGACCCTGTCTTAAAAAAAATTTTTTTAAAAAAAGGGACATACCATGTTCACGATTCAATATTAAGATGTCAAATCTCCCCTAAGTGATCTACATTTCACACCATTTCAATCAAAATAGCAGGCTTTTTAAAAAGCTAACAAGCTGATTAAAAAATGTTTATGAAAAGGCAAGTGAAAATAGCCAAATCAATTTTAAAGAGAGAAAAAAAAAAGTTAGAGGGCATACACTACCTGATTTCAAGATTTACTAAAAAGCTATACTAATCAGAATGGTGTGGTACTGAAGAAAGGATAGAATAGTGAGTCCAGAAACAGGCCTACACAAACATGGGCAATTGATCTCCAACAAAGATGAAAAGGCAATTTAATGGAGAAAGGAAAGTCTCTTCAAAAAAATGATGCAGGAACAACTGTATATTTGTGTGGAGAATCAAGAAAACCCTTATGCCATAACATATTCAAAAGTTAATTAAAAATGGATTATAGTTGGGCATGGTGGCAAATGCCTGTATTCCTGCTACTCGAGAGGCTGAGACAAGAGGATCGCTTTAGCCTGGGAGTTGGAATCCAGCCTGCATAATGTAGTGAGACCCGATCTCTATGGAAAAAAAAAAAAGATTATAAATTGAAATGTAAATGCTAAAACAGAAAACTCCTAGAAAATATTTGTGACTTTCCCTAAGAAAATATTTCTTAAATAAAAGAAGAAAACACAAACTATAAAAGTAAAAATTGATCAAATGAACTTTATTAAAATTAAAAACTTCGGCTCTTCAAAAGATGCCATTAAGAAAACAAAAAGACAAGTCACAAGTAAGGAGATAATATTTGCAATGCATATCTGACCCAGGACTTGTATCCATGTCATATAAAGAACTCTTACAACTCAACAACATGAAAACAACCCAAAATAATATAGGCAAAAGATTGAACAAATACTTCTCAAAAGAAAAGATACAAATGGCAAAAAAGCACTTAAAAAGATAAGCAGTAGCATTAACTAATTAGAAATGGGAATTAAAACCACACTGGACTGCCACCGAGCACGTATTAGAATGGCTGAAATTAAAAAGACTGACACTACCAGGTCTTGGTGATGATGCAGAGCAACTGGAACTCTCATATACTACTGGGGGGAACACGAAAAGTCACGACTACTTCAGAAAGCAGTCTTGTAGTTTTTTATAAAGTTAGATATAATACTAACCATATAACGTAGCCACTGTGACCACAGATATTTTCCTAAGAGAAAACGTATGTCATACAAAGATTTGTACATGAATGTTCACAGTGAATGTCCATCAGGAGGTTAATGGATAAATAAAATGTGGTATGTCTACACAACACAACACTATTCATAAACAGAAAGGAATGAATTACTGATAGGTCCAATAATATGAATACATCTCAACACCATTATGCTAAGCGAAAACAGTTGGATGTAAGGGTACATACTGATTTCACTTTATGTAAAATGCAAGTTGATGTACAGTGACAAAAAGGAGATCACTAATCAGCTGGGGCTGGGGGTGGGTGAGGGATAGACTGAAAAAGGGTACAGGTACAAAGAAGATATATAGATGGCCATTTTTATGCACATAAAAAGATACTTAACATTAGTAATCATTAGGAAAATGCAAATTCAAAACCATGATAAAATACCACCTTAACACTCATTAGGATGACTATAAAAAAAAAAAAAAAAAAAAGGCCAGGTGCGGCGGCTCACGCCTGTAATCCCAGCACTTTGGGAGGCCGAGGCGGGCGGATCACGAGGTCAGGAGATCGTGACCATCCTGGCTAACATGGTGAAATCCCGTCTCTACTAAAAATACAAAAAAATTAGCCGGGCGTGGTGGTGGGCACCTGTAGTCCCAGCTACTCAGTAGGCTGAGGCAGGAGAATGGAGTGAACCCGGGTGGCAGAGCTTGCAGTGAGCCGAGATGGTGCCACTGCACTCCAGCCTGGGTGACAGAGCAAGACTCTGTCTCAGAAAAAAACAAAAAAAAAAACAAATGTTGGCAAGGATGTAGAGAAACTGGAAGCCTTGTGCGTTACTGGTAGGAATGCAAAACGGTGCAGCTATTGTGGAAAACAGTCTGGCAGTTCCTTAAAAGACTAAACACGAGCTGGGTGCAGTGATACATCTGCAGCCCCAGGTACTCCTACTCTGCAGGCTGAGGCAGGAGACTCATTTGAGACCAGGAGTTCAAAGCCAGCCTAGGCAACATAGCAAGACCTAGTCTTTAAAAATAAAAGAAGACAAGAAAAAATTTTAAAAAATAATTACTATATGATCCAGCAATTCCACTTCTGGGTATATAACCTGAAGAGCTGAAAGCACAGATTCAAATAGGTATTGGCACACCTTTGCTCGCTGCAGTACTATTCACAATAGCCAGAAGGTGGACATAACCCAAATATGCATCAACAGATGAATGGAGAAATCAAATGTGGTATATACATACAATGCAATATTATTCAGCCTTAAAAAGGAAGGGAATTCTGATCAATACTATCATATTGGTGAACTTTGAAGACATTATGCTAAATTAAAGAAGTTAGACACAGAAGGACAAATATTGTACGATTCAACCTATAGAAGTACCTAGAATTGTCAAAATCAGAGAGACAGGAAGTAGAATGGTGGTTGCCAGAGGCTGGGGCAAAAGGGGAATGGGGAGTTATCATTTAATGGGTTCAAAGTTTCAGTTCTGGATGATGAAAAAGAGTTCTGGAGCTGGACAGTGGTAACGGGTGCAGAACAACATGAATGCACTTAATGCTACTGGATTGTATACCTAAAAGTGGTCATAATGGAAAATTTCATTATATATACATTTTACTACAATAAGGAAATAGTAAAGAAAAAAGTGGCACAGAAATATTTTGGAAGTAATGGAAATGTTCTCTATCTTGATTGTGACTGTGGCTTCATGGGTATATAAAACTGTCAAAATTCATCCAATTAAATAGATTCATTTAACTGCATAAAATTATTGCTCAATAAAGTTGATGAGGGGAAAAAAAGACACTAGCAAATTAGCAAGAATATATTTTATGCCTCTCCTCCCTGCCTTTCCTCATTTCATCCTGCAATGCCTACCAGTTTTCTATTTCATAGGAAGCAGGAGAAAAAGAAAAAAACGGAGGGAGTGCGGGCAGGGGGACATTCATTCAACAAATACTTAGATAACCTCCATTTCATATGTTACTCCAATAAGCCTGAGTGTTACAGGTTTATGGATGAGGAAACTATATGAAGTTTGGTATGAAGTCGTTTATCCAGGTCACACGAGATTAAGTGGCAAAGCTCAGTTTGTAACCACCGTGTTTCTAAGCCTTCACAAATGTGCATTGTAAAAATGTTCTCCCTACGTGTGATTTCACCAGACCTACATACATGAGGGGAAATAACAAGAGGCAAAGCCATGAAAATTGTGCACTATCAACAAGATAAAAAGTGTGGCAAAAATGATAAATGTTCAAGCTGATGGATATGCTAATTACCCTGATTTGATCATTATGCATTATATACATGTATCGAAATATCACTCTGTAGCCCATAAATACATGTAAACTAAAAAGAAAAAAAAAGGACATAAAATGTGTGGAAAATAGGTACTTCTGTTCACATTTAAGGACTTCTTGCAAAGAGTTATTGAAACCTTTGTCTTTTGTAATTTCTCCTTACTTAACAATTGGGCACACAGATTAAGAACACACACTCCACAGTCACACTTCCCAGGTCCCGTCCTACTGCTGTGACCTGACGTGATCTCCCTTTGCCTCAGTTTTCTCAACTGCAAAATGCGGATTATAATTGTAACTATCTGGGCACAGTAGCACCTGCCTGTGGTCCCAGCTACTCCGGAAGCTGTGGTAGAAAGATCTGACTCCAAGTTCAAGTCCATCCTCGGCAACACAGTAAGACATTGTCTATAAAAATAACAATAATAATAATTGCATCTACCTCAAAGGGCTTTTGTGATGATTAAATAATGGATGTGAAGTGCTTAACATAGCGTTAGAGGCATACGAAATTCTCAATAAATATTAGCCTTCCTCTTCCATATAGTCTACCTATAACAGCTATGGTCTATCTGTAATAGCTAGGTACAGGTAGAGTTACATGCAGAACTGAAAAAGAAAAAGCTACTTTTACAGGTAGTGGTTTGAATTCACTAATGTTGTCCTTCCTTCCTTCTTTCCTCCCTCCCACTCTCTCTCCCTTAAAATGCATTGCTGTTCCTCAAATATAGTTTTTGCATTAAAAATGTATGATGGATACAGATGGCAAATACGCATATGAAAAGATGCTCCACATCACATGTCATCAGGGAAATGCAAATTAAAATAACAAGAAGATACCACTACGCACATATTAGAATGGCCAAATCCGGAACACTGATAACACCAAATGCTGGCAAGGATGTGGAATAACAGGAACTCTCGTTCACTGCTGATGGGAACGCAAAATGGTACAGCCACTTGGGAAGACAGTTTGGCAATTTCTTACAGAACTAAACATACTCATCACACAATCCAGAAATCTTACTCCTTGTTATTTACCCAAAGGAGTTAAAAACTTATGTCCACACAAAAATCTGCATGTGGATACTGACAGCAGCTTTATTCATAACTCCCCAAACTTGGAAGTAACCCAGATGGCCTTCAGAAGGTGAATGGATAATCAAATTGTTGCACATCCAGACAATGGACAATTATTTAGCACTAAAAGTAAGTGATGTTATCAAGCCATGAAAAGGCACGGAGCAATCTTAAATGCATACTACTAAGCGAAAGAAGGCAGTGTGAAAAGGCTGTATGATCCCGATTATATAGCATTCTGGAAAAGATAAAGCTATGGAAACGGTAAAAAGATCAGCGGTTGCCAGGGATGAGAGTTGAGAGAGAGATGAACAGGTGAGGCACAGAGCACCTCTGTATAATGCCATAAAGGTAAATACATATCAGTATTCATCTGTCCAAACACGGAATGTACAACACCAAGAGTGAACGCTAACAGAAGCTGAACTTTGGTGATAATGAAGAGTCCATGGAGGTTCATCAGCTGTCACAAATGTCCCACTCTGGTAGAGGATGCTGAGAATGAGGGAGGCTGTGTGTTTTGTGTTGGAGGTGGGGGAGGAGGGCAGGAGGGATATGAGAAAACTCTGTACCTTCCTCTCAATTATGCTGTGAACCTAAATTTGCTCTTCAAAAATCATCTTTTTAAAAAACATGTATGGTGGAAACTATGAATGATGAAAGAAAACCCCATTCAGTAACCTGAAGCAGCACGTTATCTTACGAAATAATAAATGATTCATTTATCTTTGGCAGAATCGGGTCATTTTCCTGCCTTTCTCTTTCTAGGGAAATAAAAATTTTACACTTTCTCAAACATTTGGAAGATTGTCTTTCAAAAGCCAGTACAAGGAAGCTTGAGGAAAGCTTTTTATAGCCAAGTATAACAGCTGGCAGTCTAGAAGCCATATACAACATTTTGCTGTTCTACAGAACTTATAGCAGCTCACAAAAGCAAAACCATTTTTATTGAGGAAACAATAAAAATTGTTGGAAATTTTCAAAATTAAATAGTATAGAAGGACTTTTATTGTAATAAAAGTAATCTATAGATAATGTTTCTCATAGTTAACAAAGGTGCCCATTTACCTACTCAAATCCACATTTCTTTTTTTTTTTTTTGAGACGGAGTCTCTGTCGCCCAGGCTGGAGTGCAGTGGCATGATCTCCGCTCACTGCCAGCTCCGCCTCCCGGGTTCACACCATTCTCCTGCCTCAGCCTCCCGAGTAGCTGGAACTGCAGGCGTCCGCCACCATGCCCGGCTAAATTTTTTTGTATTTTTAGTAGAGACAGGGTTTCACCGTGTTAGCCAGGATGGTCTCAATCTCCTGACCTTGTGATCCGCCTGCCTCGGCCTCCCAAAGTGCTGGGATTAAAGGCGTGAGCCACCGCACCCGGCCCACAACTCCACATTTCTAATGGACTGCAAATTCACCAGCGGTAAAAGTAAACGAGGGAGGCAATAGATCCTTTGGGTCTGATGTTACAGCCAACTCAAGTGGCAGGCTTTTGCTAGATTTTCTAAGCCAGCAGAGGCAGGGATAATAAAACACATTTACCTAGAGAAAAAAAAAAATCAAATTAAGATGACTTTAAGTATTCTATACTAACAGAAGAACTATTAAAAGTAGTTAAATCCATTGTTCTGAAAAACTGAACAGAGATATGACCAACTGGAGGTGTTTTGTCTCTCTCGACTCCACTGGCACTAGGACCTTTTTCTCCTATTTTATTATCAAGCATGGTGAGCCAGCCATTGCCATGCCCAAGTGCTGCATATCTTGTGAGTCTAAACTGAAAACAACATATCTCAGACGTTATCTTAGACTTGAGGCTGAGGAACAGATGGATTTAAGAAAAAAAACCATTCCTTTCCTTTTAAAAGGTCTTAAAAACTTTTGAGAAGCTTCAGGAAAAAGGCAAGTAAGATACGATTATTTTGTGGCATAATAAGATTTCATTTTCTGAAACTCAATCAGGAGAACTAATGAAGAAGAAATGTGCCCCTTGCTTGTGGAAGCCAGCTTAAACTGGTAAGAGCCCAATCACTCACAGTATTTGTTAAGCAAAATCCATTTATGTTGGAACAGTAGGCATTTAAGCATTAATATGAAAGTTAAAATAGAGAAGACAGTACAGAATACTTAAGTTACAATTTCAAATTCGACAGTGTTGACAGAGCTACTCCAGAGACCACTAAATATATTGCTTTAAAAAAAAAAGTTGGCGGGGCATAATGGCTCACACCTGTAATAATCCCAGCATATTAGGAGGCCGAAGTGGAAGGATCACTTGAGCTCAGACTCAGGATAGACCAGCCTGGGCAACATTACAAGACCTTGTCTCTACTAAAAGAAAAAAACTTAGCCAGGCATGGTGGCACACATCTGTAGTCCCAGCTACTTAGGAGGCTGAGATGGGAGGATGGCTTGAGCTCAAGAAGTTGAGGCTACAGTGAGCCACGATTATGCCACTGCACTCCAGCCTGGGCAACAGAGCGAGACTGTCTCAAAAAATAAAAATAAAGGTTGCGTTTTTTTTTTTAAACATTATATATCTGAGAAGATCTCCATATATAAATATTTCATTTTAAACAGCTAATTGAAAAGTTCCATACATTTATATGTGAGAACATTTCATAAGGTTTTACCTTATCCTAATCATATCTTAACTCTAAATATTCCGTTTAACGACAAAAATGGCATAACATTCCCAAAGCAGCAAAATGTCTTTCTTGATTTCTGAAGATAAAAAAGGAAAAAAATAGAAAAAGCAGAAAAGCAATAAACTGTTATTCATTTTAATAAATTTTTATGATCCCTCAGTCATTACTAAATTGGATCATATGATAATTTCTCCTTTGGTTATCATTTTTATTGACAAGTTTTCAGCTGTTTTTTCTTCATTTGCAAAATGAGTCCTAGATCTCATGTCTGGCATAATCACTCAGCTCCCATAAAGAAAGACATCCAGGACCCACTTTATCTTCATGTTACTTTTCTAAGCCAGCCCATCAAAAGTCTGAGGAGACAGTCACTCTTACTGCTACTGACAATACCAACTGGTTTAGTGTACACTAACTGGCTGACTACACACATCTATTCCTTTTCATTCCTAACAGAATGCTGATTTTATTCACATATTCATTCTCATTAGAAATAAATGTTTTAGGCCAGGCATGGTGGCTCACGCCTCTAATCTCAGCACTTTGGGAGGCCGAGGCGGGCGGATCATGAGGTCAGGGGTTTGAGACCAGCCTGGCCAACCTGGTGAAACCCCAGCTCTACAAGTACAAAAATTAGCCAGGCGTGCTGGCAGGCACCCATAATCCCAGCTACTCGGGAGGCTGAGGCAGGAGAACGGCATGAACCCAGGAGGCGGAGCTTGCAGTGAGTCGAGATGGCACCACTGCACTCCAGCCTGGGTGACAGAGCAAGACTCCGTCACACGCACACACACAAAAAAGAAATGTCTCAAGTGCTTAAATTCTTGTAAAAATAACTGCAAAAAGATATATGAGTAAGGACTGGTAGGTACCATATGACTATTTCAGCAAACACATATCACCTGGAAAAAATGTGCTGATAGAGTTTCTTTAGGATCAAATGCGTGGTAGGGAAATCCACATCAAGTCCAATAAAATGGTAAAAGAAAAAAAGAAAAAGCCAGGCACAGAGACTCGTGCCTATAATCTCAGCACTTTGGGAGGCTGAGGTGGGAGGATCACTTGAACACAATTCAAGACCAGCCTGGGCAACACAGCAAGACGCCATCTCTACTTAAAAAAAAAAAAAGAAAAGAAAAATTAGCTAGTCATGGTAGTGCATGCCTGTAGTTCCAGCTACTCAGGAGGCTGAACTGGGAGGATCGCTTGAGCGAGGCTGAGGCTGCTGTGAGCCACGATCACATGACTGCACCCAGCCTGGGCGACAGAGTGAGACCCTGTCTCAAAAATAAAATAATTTTAAAAGTTAAAGCTAACAAAATATACACAAAAACCCAGAAACAGTGATGTGAAAGAAGCTTTTGATTCGTTAGTGATGAAATGAGAGCTGCCTTGATAGACCGGCACTATTACAAAGACGTGCATTGCCTGATCAAGAGGTGGTGCTTCTCAGAGTTTCTAAACCAAAGATTGAATTCTTATTTTTCTTCATGGAGGGAAAAAAGGCCACAACGTTACAATATAAAAATCTGAAAAAGGGAAGTGAATTGATTTTTCATCTAACTTAATAAAATGACTTATTTGGCTGATATTTCCTTAGGATCTCAACAACCTCAAGCCAAAACTTCATAGTTTTTCAGGGCAGCACAAACGAATCCCACAGGTTAAATGAAGAGCTGCTCATTAGGACTGAGAATCAGGAAAGAGCCTTAGTTCATCCACATGTGATTCATTCACATCATTGACTTAAAGATCGTCACCATTCATTGTTCCTGAGTGGGGAGAAAAAAATCCACAGAATATTTCCCCGAGATCATAAAGAGGTTAGTCACTGATTTGGGGATCTTTATAGTCTACCATTTGACAATGACTTGGCCTTTCTGCGAGAAAAAACATCCATCAGGAGTACCACTGAAAATGTGCTGAATTTAGAGCACCTCTCCACAGTGACTGCAATTACAGAACTCCTAAATCACTGAAAACACTCTGAATCTTGGTTTTAAACATCTTGTGACACCAGAAGAGGACAAAAATTGTCCTAGTGATGATGAACCTAATATGTGGTGTGTCTGTTTTGGATTACAATTTTCCCAATTACAAATGCTAGTCATTTGGACCACTAACCCAAGAATGCCTTGGTTAATTTCTCAAGGACAAAATGTTTACATATTGATATATTTTAACATTTCATTTTTGAAATGAATGCTATTTTATTTTTCAAAGGCAGATGATGTCTTACCTACCCAGTGTATTTATAACCCCTTTGAACACTTGACCCATATTCCTAAGCATCCTTATGGCACTTAAAATGCCTAACCAGTTCCAAATGTTCAATAACGTTTCAGCAAATGCTTGCTGAATGAATTAATTAATGAGCGAAGGTATGTTGAAAAAAATTAGATTTTCCTGGTAACTTAATTTTGAAATAGAAAACATATAATAATAAATGCTAGCTCAAAATAACCCTAGTAAAGCAATATAAGTGACTACCTTGGAAAACTTACAGCAGAATGCATCACTGCTCCCACTCCCAAACCTGCTACCACTTTTGCGTTCTTTATGCTATGAGAGGTACCACTACATCCACAGCTGACTGCATCAGGAAGAGCCCAAGACCACCTTCAGTTTCAGTTATCTACTAGGCAGACTCTCAGGGCTCGGCACACAGTCGTACTCACAGCTGCAGTTTATTACAGGGAAACAACACCAAGCGAAGTCAGCAAGGGGAAAGGCACATGGGGAGAAGTCTGTGGAAACAGAGTGGGAGCCTCCAAGGGCCTTCCCCCAGGGAGTCACAAGGGAGGCACTTCACTCCTCCTACAAAAAGCTGTGATAACGTGAGAAATGTCCCAGTCAGGGAAACCCATTAGAGACTCAGTACCCAGGGTCTTTATTGGAGTTCAATCGCCTGTAGGCAGCCTCTAATTTTGGACTCCTGGAAGGACAGCAGGGGATCAGCATAAACCATAATGTTGACACAAACAGTTTAGGCACTGTCAGCCACTCTTACCAGATAAGGGGGAAACACTTGCTGAAATCTCAGTTGCTAAATGTCAGCCAAGGGCCAAACTTGTGGGCCTGCCCTTCCTTCCTTTCCTCCTTCCTTCCCTTCCTTCCCTTCCTTCCTTCCCTCCCTCACTCCCATTCCCTCCCCTCCCCTCCTCTCCCCTCCCTCTCCTTCCCTTCCTCCCTCTCTCCCTCCCTTTCTCTCTCTCTCTCTTAACAGTCTTCCTCTGCTGCCCAGACTAGAGTGCAGTGGTATGGTATCAGCTCACTGCAAGTTCCACCTCCCAGGTTCAAGCAATTCTCCTGCCTCAGCCTCCCGAGTAGCTGGGATTACAGGCGCATGCCACCATGCCTGGCTAATTTTTGCATTTTTAGTAGAGACAGGGTTTTGCTATGTTCCCTACGCCAGTCTCGAACTCCTGACTTCAAGTGATCCACCCGCTTCAACCTCCCAAAGTGCTGGGATTAGAGGCGTAAGCCACCACGCCCAGCCCAGGTCTTTTCAAGGATAAGCAGTTTAGGCCTGCTAGGTTAACTCTTTTCTGCACAGCGACTAGGCCAGAAACCAAGAAATAATCCCAATTCCTACTTCTTCACTGTCCCTCATCTCTTCTAGGCCAAATCCTGTCAATTTTGCTCCTGAGTAACTTCCCTGTACTCCCTTCTTCCTGTCCTCACTATCGGGCTTTAATGGAGGCCTCTGTTCTCTCTTGCTCGCATCACTGCCGGAACTCCTACCTTGTCTCCTGCCTATCCTTCCATCCATTCTCCACAGGCTCTTTGCCGGGAAGGCTGCCCACTGCCCTCAACCTCCCGAGCATAGTGGAAAACAGGGCCTTTTTCTGATGTGCCCAAGTTTTCTCTCTAATTTCTCAACACTTTCTCCCTTTTGTACTCTCTGTTCTAGTCAAACTGAACTATTAAATGCAGTTCTCAGAAAGCATGGCACTTTCTTACCTTTGTCACTTTGTTCTGGCTACTTGTCCTCTACCTAGAATGCATTTCCACTTTTGCCTGGGTTAAGAAGTATGTAGGCTTTAGAAGTCAGCTGAGGCACCAACACAAATCTTCCCCAGATATCCCCGTCTCCCAGTCTAATACCTCATGCCTACTCCCCTCCACGGCATTTATCCCACTGCACTGCAATTTCAGTCTATTTTATTGATCTATCCCCTATACTGTGTGTCCTTAAAGGTGGGACTGCGTATCCCCAGTGTCTAGCATGGTCACTGACAAATTGTTCATGTCCAATAAATACTTCTTGACTGAATAAATGTCACAACTTCAGCAGGGTTCCCCTGAGGTCAGCTCCATCCCCCGGCCTTCTAGACCGGACTGAACTTAGACGATTTTGGCACAGACACTGGGAACCGTGCATCGTTCATGTTATCCTCTTTGCATTGGCTTTGTTCAAAAGCTAACAGCCAAATATGTGGTGGTCTTCCTGTGACCGTGTAGGTCTGCAGAGCCTATAATCTGTATACTAATTACACTTTTGGTTTCGACTTACCTTCCCCAACCTCTTACTCTGATTACTTCACTTACACTTTATTTGTATCTTTGTGTGTGTGCATGGTTTTTTCCAAAGCTGAAATTCCTTCTGGACTAAAGCAGGATATAAATAGATATGTATATAGTCCCAAAGAGATGAGAACACTGTCCCATTGTTTAGAGGAGGTGAAACCTCAGTTTTTCTCAGTATCCCATTCCTAGCTAAATCCAAAGTCTCCTAAAGCACAACTTACAAAAAGAGCTATTTTCCTCCTAGTTCTTCAGCTCAACTTCATGCAATGAAGTTACTCTAAATAAAGGAATGCATACGTGCACCCATATTTTCTTCACAAGACTTAGGAGCAAGACTCAAAAAAGTGAGGACAGATGCGCGCCTTACTTTATCCAGTCAATGTGCTGCTGAAAAACTGGGTAAAATGAGTTGTTTAAATAGAATCAAAATGTCAGTTTACTAGAGATGCTCACTACTTACAGAAACACCACGGCAAATCCATGAAGTAATTATGGGGTGAAAGAAGTAATCACCCTAAAACTTATCTGCCTTGTAATCCCAGATTTACAGGCTGAGGCAATGTTAAAGTATGCTTATTAGAAAACCCTCAAGTTCTACTGTGTATAAACATGCAATCCTCTTCGTTTGTTTCATCACCTATAAACGTAACTCAAGTTAATAACCAGCCAGAAAATTCAAATTAATATTAAATACTGAAACACTGTTATCACCAAATTCACACCAGAAATTATTAGCACTTCAAATGTGAGAATGTTCTCAAAGCCCTGTTAATTCCTTCCTTCTACCCCTACTTGACAGACATTCCTTGACAACCTCCTAAGTAAAACATTCCTTCTCTACATGTCAATAGATTCCACCTAAGAAAGGCAAAGTCCTTGCTGTCAAGGAACTTATAGCCACGTAGAGTTCACTCTTTTTGTTATATCTGTTACTAACATGAGACTTTTTTCTTCTTTAATCCAAATTTTCATTTCATTTTTTTCTCCTTTACATCTGTTTTTGTTGTAAACTGCCACTCAGGAGATAACTTTCATTAATTTGCCTTATAAAATTTCTACCAAAACCAACTAAAAGGACAAGAGAACATAGAAGAAGGACAGTACATGCAGAGTTTTAAAAACCTTAAGGAAGATTAAAAGCTCGTCACCACATAAATGTCTAAAGTTATTACTAGGCCCTACCAATTTGAACTTTGGGATGAAAACTCCTTATGAATTCATTACAGATTTGAATTTTTAAGGCAATTCAGTTCAACTCATCTCAAGTACGAACACAGTCATTCAAACCGGGCTAATAAAAGGCAGCTTAGTGGACATCCTAAAAGGTTGAATTTTCATGAATTAACAGATTGGCAACGAGCTTCTCAACAATTTGGATGTAAACAAGACATTTAGAAAGCTGCTGAAAACTGTTTCTTCATGTAGGTTAAGAATTAGTCTTCCAATATTTTTTACATTACAATTCTTATTTTTCAAATTTTTTTTTACAAACAGTGAAAAGGTAGTGTGTCTAAAATTCTCTGCACTGCTAAATAAGTACAGATTGAAACTATCTTATAAATGAATTTGACAATGACCTGTGACCTAGAGGCAAAAGCAGACAGTGCTGTTTAAGCTGCTCAGTAAAATTTGAGCTAAACTCGAAATGTAGAAGCAAATACTTTCTAGAACACCTGATAGATCAATGTTTTAAAATCCTTGCTAATTGCTTAAGTTTTCATTCTTTTGTAATCTGCTCCTTGTGTGTACTTAACCTACTCACAGGTATTTATGTTAATTCATTAGATCCCTCAGGGTGGGCCGGGCAGACTATTATCTGAAAGCACTGGTGCATAGCTTCCTGGGTCAGGGACAAATAAATCTTTTCATATAATTGCATGTCGTTTTATGTGTTGCTGTCTTCCCACTGGGAAAAATGTTAAAATATTTAAGGCTTACTATCTGGTGTGATTGTGATTTTATAATTAAAGTCTGGGACAGGAGGAGAGAGTGGCAGAATTCAGTACTTTATCTCAGTAGGAACAGTCTTTCTTTGAAGCGGTAAACTTTTAGATAGTCAATAAAAGTAAAAATTCCGGTGAATAAGAGCTGGTAGAGTCCTTTTGAAGTCACGTACCACCATTTGATGACAATCTAGTTTAATAAAGATAGAGCTAAAAGAATAAGAAGGACTGTATATGTCACAAAGATCGTGATTCTCTTCAGTGATAAAATCAAGTAAATATTGTCATCAAGCTAAAATATACCCAATTCTAATACAGCAACTGTTTACCTATTTCCAAATTTGTCTACATACCAGACAGCCAGTGGGGGAGAATGGTTTTATTTTGTTCTTAATTAGAACAGTATTTGGAGCTGGAACTATCTAATGGGCAAGTAAGCCAAGCATTCTCTCATCCACTCACTCCCTTCAGCATTCTTCTCTTACCCCTATCTTCTGGACCAAAAAATAAAAAGTCTAGTCAGGAAGTGGGGAGTGGGAGTTGCGGGACAAGGTATGAGTTGGGGAGAGCATCTGGGTTTTATCACCAGGTGTGTCAGGATTTGCAGTTTCTTGAAAATCTAAATCTTCAGGTTGCTGTGCAGACTTGTGCCTCCTGGTACAAATAATAGCTGCGCCCACACACACTAATGCCCCCCCACAGCCCACAGCCTTGGGGCGCTCCAAGGAGAGTGAGTTCAATACCAGCAGTAAGGGCGACTCGCTCCTGGACGTGAATCTAGCATGCAAGATCATTTTCATTAAACACGTAACTGCACAGCGACGATTTACATCTCCTCTTATTTCCTTTGAATGAGAAGCAGACGCATAACAGCAATCTGGAATAGAAAGTGGAGCTTTTACAGGCTGTTGTATGTGCACCAAGGCCGGGAGAGGCTGAGGTCCGTCAGCATCATGTGGCAGGAAAACCGCAAATAGTTCGAAAGGCCACACTCTCCGGCACCGACTGAGTAGCTGCTGCAGGAAGGGGGACAAATGGTCCTCAGCAAGACCCTCTTCAGAAGGAACAAGAGACCGTGTGGAGGGCCCATGAGAATGAATTTGTGGTTTGCAACTGGTTTGTCATGTCTCAAAATAAGTAAATCCAGTATGTGTGACTGTTTAGAAAAGCAGTTAAGGGCGGTTGAGTCTTTCTTGGTTAATTAAGTGATTTTCATCTGGAGGTATGTTTGGAGGAAGGAGCCTCCTGGAAAGTAGGATCAGAAAGAAGTGTTTAGTGTGAAAAAATCAGTTCCAGATGATTTTGTGTATATGCCTCGTGTTTAAATTCAGACTGTTAAGTCTAGACACTGGAAATCAAACTACAGGTCAGCAAAAAAAAAAAAAAAAGAACACCCACGCAGCAAAAAGCTGTCATTTCACTGCCACCTCTGTTAAAAGGGTACAAATATGCTATGCTTGCTTCAAATCTATGTTTTATAATTCTCTTCTTTATAACAAAAAGTCTTCTGACAACACAATCAAAAACGAATAGTCAGAAGTAATGATGATCTAAACCTAAATGGTTAAAGTCTTTGCTGATGGATGCAGAGCTCAGGAGGGAGGCTATGACTGGGAGGGGGCAGAAAGGCTGAGGGAAGAACAAGAACATAGAGACGGAGCGCAGGGTGCCTGCAACCTGCTACCAGTCAAACCCCTACCACAGTTTCCTCATCTCGACAAAAAGCATAATCAGGTACATGAGTTTACTGTTCATAATAATGAACTACAGAAGCATTTGTTATTGTTACACTAATAAAAACCACAATAAAAAATACTACTCTTATTAGTAACAAATCAAAGAACCTCCTTAATATGAAGTCAGTGTGAATGGTTCTTGGAGGGGAGCCAGTTCCGCAGGCATAACAGCCATCCTTTTGCAAAGCCATCAATCCAGAATTACCAGTCATACCTCCAACTTATGCCTTACCTTACCCCTTATGTCTTACCTTATGCTTCTGCTGAAAAAGCGAATGAAAAGCTGGTCTCCCTTTTCAAAAATGAAACCATCAAAAACCAACATGGGAAGGAGAAGAATCACTGACTAGGATATGTCTGTGCAGAAAACAAGGTGGCTCTCATCTGAAAATATAACATGACAAAGGCGACCAACTACATAGAACATCATTTAGATTCTCTCCAATTTTGAGATGCTGTAGCTGGAGCACAGAGATAACCGCCCCCAGTCACACAGCCTGTCTGCTTCTGGACTCTGTATTCTTAGTCATGACCTTGTAGCTGCCTTATCATGTTCTACCATAAAAATGAAAATTGTGAAACAGAAAATCTAAATCAAAATGTTTTAATTTGTAATAAAAGAAAACAAACTGAGAATCTGCAAAAGTTGTGAAAATTTTCTTCTGTGTGAGGAAAGCTTCGTGCCAGATATCTTAAACTCAACATAAATATCCAACACATTTCACATAAAACAGAACAATACTGCCATGGTAATGACGCTCCTCAGTTAGACAAAAATCTCAAGAGCAGGCCTGTCTGCTGATGTTCATCACTAACCTACAGTGTATGTGCATTTGTTTTTGCCAATAAACTATGCTGTTGCCAGAGATTAAACATAAGTTCCTAAATGCATGTATGATTGTTTGTAATTACTTAATATTAATAAGCCGAACTGATAAACACAATCCCAAATCAAGAAAGAAAGCCAACATAAAACAGAAAGATGGCATTGCTAAATCCCGGAAGACATCACCTCGAGCTTTTCATCATGCCACTTTGAAGTTCACCCCCATCCAAACCCTTTGTGGCTTCCTCTGAAGAATCCTGAGGCAGAGGCAGCAGCAGGCTCACTCCTCCAGCTGCCTGCGAAGGCTGAATTCCATTTATTCCATTTGGGGTTGGTGGTGGGCAGGACGAATGAGACTGTTGTCATTCTTCCCAGGAATGCTTAGATGGACAGTGAGCTATTGGACTGCCCCAGATACCATCATCTCCCCCACATCCCTCCTACGTGGAGCCTTAGTTTGGGGGGAAGTGAATCTCAATTGCCCCCTTCCCTCTCCCCGTCAATGAGGCAGGCTTGTGGAGGTGCTGGCCACTTCTTAGGCCTAAATCTGTGTTCAGAGAGTGGATCCATGCTTTGAGAGATGGTTGCCCTGCCCGTCCTAGACTATCTTGAAGGGTGAGAGGCACAGGAACTTAGAGAGTCAAAGACTACCAAGAGACACACCGAAAACTAGTGAGGTGGGAACTGGCAATTTCTAAACCTACGGCAACAGCAGTCTCTGGTCCTTCTTTTCATTTCCCGGGACCTCCATCCTGAGGGCTGAACTGATAACATTCATCTTACTTTTATGGATGATGAGGAAAATGCCACAAGTGAGTTTAATTCTCAAAGGAGAAAGAGAAAGTGGTATCTAATATCGATTAGGTCCAAATATACTCTCTTGGTGTTTTAGCCAGAAATACATCTGGGCATTTCTGCAGCAATCTGTAAGAGACTTTATACACGTATCCATCTCAAAATAATGCGCTTTTAGTTATTAGCTTTTATTCATTTCCATTTTGTCTTTTTAAAGTGACATCCAAAATGATGAAAAGCTTCAGGGTACTACAACACCATAAGATAATCTTCCTGTATTCACTTCCCCAAAGTACCCAGAGATGGGCCCCAAGAGGAGTCCTCCTCACGAAGAGGTGAAGCACCGACCTGAGGATCTGTCAGAACCCTGATCAAAAAGCAACAGAACAAAGTGAATGGCGAGATAAAGTGGAGAGGGAGCCATTGTGTTTACGTTCACCTAAGCAAAGTCCTAATTAGTGCCCAGTCCTACTGGAGGATGGTTTTAATGGCATGCACCTTTTATCGCCTGCAAATGCTTAAGGGTCAGCAGAACAAGCCACTGCCTTGTTAGATAATGAAACACAGATAAAAATTTATGTGTAATTGGTATGTTTTAAACTGGTATTTAAAAGCTATTTATCTCTTAGTGGGGACAAATATTCTTTTAAGTCATTAATTGGCAACCATAAATTTTAATTCTATTCTAGGCATAATTATTACAGATTTCAAGTAAGTAGGCTCCAAAACAATGAGGCTTTACTGGTTCGATCAGAAATACTTGTTGAAGGGTTTCCTAAGAAGATTACAATAGGATAAATTAATTCTATCAGCAGAAGCACTGGAGTATAGAATGTCAAATACAGTAAATCCATATGTAATAAACATAGATATCTAAGATGTGTAAGTAAGTAAAAATAAGGATGTTGCAGATATATATACAATATGGTGCTGCTTATCAAAACAACACAAAACAATTTTTTGTGTGTGTCTGTAAAAAAAAATTGTGGGAGTGGGGATGTGTAATGCTGAAGGTGAGGTGCCAAAATGCCAGCAGTGGCTACTTCTAGGAAGGAGGGTAGGACGGTGGGAGAAAACAGGGATTAAGGACAATGATGAAGGGGAATTTTGCCTTTGTTATAAAATGTTTTAAATTATTTAAAATAAAGTTATTGCATTTATACATTATTTGTGCAATTAAAATATTTCAAAATTTCAGACTTATTTATCCCCACTATAATCACAAGTAGTGATTACTGAGTATGGGAAGAGCCTAGTACCTAGGGGTGGTGCCATTATAATCCCAAAGGACACAATCCTGAATGCCATCATCCCTGAAAATATTGGTATACAGGCCTTTAAAAACAAAAAAGGCCTGAGAGTAAAAATTAGCCTGAAGTCGAAATCTCTGAAATCGAAAATCCTGAAAATCATAATCCCCAAACACTGAAACCCCAAATGCTGCAATCCTGAAAGCCAAGTTCTGGGGAGGGATTCGAGTGCTTTCCGCTGTGCTCACTGTCGCTGCATCCTGTAGTTCTGGGGAGGGATTCGTGTGCTTTCCACTGTGCTCACTGTGGATGCTTCCTGTTAGTTCTGGGGAGGGATTCGTGTGCTTTCCGCTGTGCTCACTGTCGCTGCATCGTGTTAGTTCTGGGGAGGGATTCGTGTGCTTTCCACTGTGCTCACTGTGGATGCTTCCTGTTAGTTCTGGGGAGGGATTCGTGTGCTTTCCACTGTGCTCACTGTGGATGCATCGTGTAGTTCTGGGGAGGGATTCGTGTGCTTTCCGCTGTGCTCACTGTGGATGCATCGTGTAGTTCTGGGGAGGGATTCGTGTGCTTTCCGCTGTGCTCACTGTGGATGCATCGTGTTAGTTCTGGGGAGGGATTCGTGTGCTTTCCACTGTGCTCACTGTCTTTGCATCCTGTTAGTTCGGGGGAGGGATTCATGTGCTTTCCACTGTGCTCACTGTGGATGCTTCCTGTTAGTTCTGGGGAGGGATTCGTGTGCTTTCCACTGTGCTCACTGTGGATGCATCGTGTTAGTTCTGGGGAGGGATTCGTGTGCTTTCCACTGTGCTCACTGTCGCTGCATCGTGTTAGTTCTGGGGAGGGATTCGTGTGCCTTCCACTGTGCTCACTGTGGCTGCATCCTGTTAGTTCTGGGGAGGGATTCGTGTGCTTTCCGCTGTGCTCAGTGTGGATGAATCGTGTTAGTTCTATCATGTTAGACAGGACTCTTATCTTGTGGTTGTCTTCATCTGGAAATTAGCTATGGTTTAAGATGTGTACAGGTGCCAGATTCACAAGGGGTAGACTTGTAGACTTAATTTTCGGTGTCAGCTTGACTGGATTAAAGAGTTATCTAGTAACTTGGTAAAGCATTATTTCAGATATGTCTGTAAGGGTGTTTCCAGAGGAGATTAGTACATGACTCTGAATGGAGTAGGTGGAGATCTGCCTAAAATGTTGGCGGGCACCATCCAATCAGCCTTGGGTCCAGAGGGAACAAACACAGATGGTAAACTGCTTTCTCTCTGAGAGATGAGACAGACTTTTCTTCTGCCTTGGACGTAAGAAACATTATTCCAAGTACACGCATTATCACAATGCTGCTTTGTGTATAAGCATGGTGCATGTACATAAAAACACTGAAACTTCTTCCATAAATGAAGAACTGCCTTTTTTCTGTGTCTCCATTTGTGAAAGATAAAATTTCTTGAGACCTTGGCTCTTTGAGTGACTGTATTTGTGGCAGTGACCAGAGGTTTTTGATCCATCTCATCAAAACATGTCTGTCAGGGTATTTTTGATGACTGCAGTTACAACGATGGATGCATACAATTTCCAACCATAGTAATAAGCGTTCACACATTTCACTTTCTGACCTATTTCTTTATAAATACAGTTTGTCTGTTCATAGCTATAATAGCTGAGTGACTCCCATTAGTATATCTGTGTGTTGATGCTTGCAAAGAGAACATGTATGGTATTGTTGCCTATTTTACTGTGTAAAGTGGCCTATAATGTGTTCAGTCATGTATTTATATGTCTCTAAAGTCTTCTTTTAAAATTGTAACAAATGTATTTTAAATATTTTTAAAACTTTATTCCACAATTATATTTTTGAAATTTTGGTCTCTCAGAATTGTGATTTGGGGATTTTAGAATTTAGGGATTTTAGGCTGGAGCTAGTGAATCACACCTATAATCTCAGCACTTTGGGAGGCCAAGGCGGGCAGATCGCTTGAGCCCAGGAGTTCAAGACCAGCCTGGGCAACATGGCAAAACCCGATCTCTACAAAAAATACAAAAATTAGCCGGGCATGATGGCTCCTACCTGCAGCCCCAGCTACTCGGGAGGCTGAGGTGGAAAGATTGCTGGAGACCCGGAGGCAGAGGTTGCAGCAAGCCAAGATCACGCCACGGTACTCCAGCCTAGGTGACAGGGCAAGACTCTGTCTCAAAATAAATAAATAAATAAAACTAGACTTTAGGGATTTTAATCTTTCAAAATTTCAACATTTGGAATTATGGCATTCAAGATAGTGTCTCTCAAGATTATGGTCCAAACCTCCATAGAGGTACTGGAAAGCACAACGCCAGATACTACAGAAGTTCCGTATGACTCCATTCTGGCGCAACCATATGCCCATGTGTCAGGCACAATTTCCTAAGAAGAAATCAAGTGTAATAGATGGCAAATTGGTCTCGGCCTAGGTCAAGCTTGTCCAACCTGTGGCCCAGCATGGCTTTGAATGTGGCCAAACGCAAACTTGCAAACTTTCTTAAAACATAAGTTTTTTTGTGTGATTTTTGTTCTTTTAGCTCATCAGCTATCATTCATGTTAGTGTATTTTATGTATGGCTCAAGACAATTTGTCTCCTTCCAGTGTGGCCCAGGGAAGCCAAAAGATTAGACACCCCTGGCCCAGGTCAGTAGCACCAGAAGGATATCTAGATAAGATCAAACTAAATTAATAAGCAGTCTGCAGCTCCAAAGCATTGACTTTGACCAGTACTTTTGAGAATCCTTAGGCTAATTCCTAGTAAAGCATGTTTTGCAAATAAAAAAAAATTATCTTCCTTTTTTATTGGTTTGCCAAAAAAAATTAAAAAAAAAAAACAAACTGTGAACATACACTAGAAGCAACAACCATAATAAAACTTCTGGTAATAATAAGGCAGCTCCTCCCATATATAACATACCAAATATAACAACTATAAGCTCTGGATTCGACATTTAAAAAAACTAACTGAAGGTACTAGAGAGTGGCCAAAAGCAGACAGAAACTGGAAGGGAGTTAACACTTGAAAATAAATGAAAAACACTAGATGAGTTTCTTGTTTATAAAGCTTTTTAAATTGAAGCCAGAAATTTTCTGGCTGTGCCAGCTGGGGCAACTGCAAGTTGGATAGAAATCTGCAGCTTCTTAAAGAAACAAAAGGAAAGTGACAGGAAAAAAATCCCAGTGAGGGCCAGAGTCTAGTGCATAAAATGCCTGAATCTCTGGGTGACCCCTACTATCCACATGCATTGAGGAGAGGCCCAGCAGTCCGGAAAAGTCTAAAAGAACTGAAAAGTGATTTCAGTTGCTGCCCTTCACAGGGGTAACAAAGTTGGAGCACACATCTGCCAATATAATAGCATGCTAAAGCAATACACACACACACACACACACACACACACACACACACACTTCAGAGGAATATAAGAGAATCCAGAAACCTATAACATATTAAAAATGTTCTGAATAAAACCCAAAATTACTAGACATATGAGGGAAGAGGACAGGGTGACCCATTCTCAAGAAAAAAAAATTCAATCAATGAAAACCAACCCAAAATGGCCCAACTGCCTCAAAAACTAGGTAAGAATGTTTATAGTCAGCTTTCATTACTATGCCCAAGAAAAGACAGGAAAATATGCTTGTAATGAACAAATAGGAAATATCAACAAAGAATCTTAAAAATGTGATATGAATAAAATGTGAAATGAATGAAAAATAATCCAATAAAAATGGAAGAGGAAGAGAAAGACACAAATAAAAGAACCAGAGAGACGGCAGTGATAAGAACTCAGTCTTACATGGTAAGAACTCAGCATGATATTGTTGCCTGTGAAGACAAAAGGAATTTTCCATTTTCTTATGCCACTAAGTTTGTGGTACTTTCTTACAACAGCAATAAGAAACAGAAATGTGCTGAAAGAGAAGGAGAAGAGAAGCTGCCAATCTAGAATCCTCTATCCAGCAAAAAATTGTCTGCAAGAATAAAGGCAAAATAAAGACATTTTCATATAAAAGAAAACTAAAATAATTTATTACCAGCAGACCTGTACTACCGGAGGTGCTAAAGGAAGTCCTTCAGGCTGCAGGACAATGAGACTAGATGGAAGGCTGAAATTTCATGAAAGAATGAAGGGTGCTGGAAATGGTAAATACGTAGGGAAGTATAAAAGACTCTTTCTCTGAATTTCTTCAAAATATATATGGCTACTTAAAGAAGTAAAATGTTGTATTGAGGGAGCTTTAAAATATGCAAATATAATATATATGACATCTGTAAGACTGAGGAGTTCATATTTTACATGAAATGGGACAATGTTAACTTTAGACTGTGAAAATTTAATTATCTGTTTTATAATCCTAGAGAAACCATTGAAAAAGAACACAGAGACATATAGCAAGAAAAAAAAAAAAAAAAGCTCAGCCAAAAGAACTTTGGCAAAAGAACCGAAAGATAATATACAATAAAAATTTTTTTCATGGAAAATAGTTTTGGAAATGCTACTATGAAATCTCAGCAAATTCTATTTCTTGCCAATGTATTCATCTGCATAAGAAATGGTAAGGGATACATCTGTAGATTTAAACACGCACATAAACACATAAGTCCACTAAAATGGTCAGATTTTCTACTCCTCATTCAATTAAAAAAGAAACTATATAAAGAAAGCACCAAAAGACAAAATACCAAACCCGTCTCTACTTCAGTTCTCTGTTCCATTCACAATTCTCACCCAGGAAAGAGAAATTCAAAGAAAAGACAGAGCTGGAACTTCATTTCCTATATATAGTTAGCCAGCATTCTTCAGTGTTGTCTACACATTCACCCACATCCAAATGTACTGCCAACAGACCAACACAGAGAAGTGCTGAGTTAGGTTTCAGTGTGTTTCTAATATATCCCATTTTATTCAAGACAGAATAAAATTTTGTTTCAATGTGACTCCTCTGGGTTTAAAAAAAAATCCAAAATCTTAGACTTAACTATATAGTCAATCAACTAGTACATAAACAAATGACTTCAGTACACTAATGCTGATAGCCAAAATAGTAAAAAATAAGTCTAAGGCATGTCACTTACTTGCTCTTTCTGGCTCATTTATTTTAACTGCTCCCACTAGCATTCTGTCTGGTTTTGTTTTTTTTTTCTAGATTAATTCAATTCTCTTCCCTTTGGATGAGATAGAAAACAGAACAAAAAAAATGAAAAAAAATGCTTTGCTTCACAATCAGTCAGTATTTATTGAATGTCTTTATTGTCACACAGTATTTATTGAAATACTATCATTTGCCAGGCATAGAAGAAGACGAGATAAATAAGATGGCCCCTTATCGTCTAAGACTTAAGTAAAATACATAGGATATATATACATAATAGATATAAAACAAAGCTGACTGTTTCATGAAAGCAGAAAGGAGAGAGACAATCTTTTCAGTTGGAGAATCAGGAAAAGTTTGTCCTTGCAGGATGAGGTTTTCAGAGGTAAGCTGGGGGTGGGGAACCAGAAGCAGAAATAGGAGACCAGGGAAGTGTAGGACAATTCAGGGAAAGGTGACTGGCTCAGTATGGCTGGAGCATACAGGCTACACTGGTGGAAGCTGTGAGAGAAAACATGGCATGTCTAATTATGGTGGCTCTTGAAGCCAAGCTAAAGGTCTTGAGCCTCATTTGATAGGCAGTGAGGTTCACAGAAGATTTTTTTAAATTGTGGAGTGACATTTTTCATCATTTAACAATAAACAGCCTTTGGAAGTATTATGTGCCAAAAACATGCAAACAAGTAATAGTACATCAAGGAATCCCACAAAATCCAACCTCAGGCAGACTGCAGTTGAGTAGGGAGCTAACTATGTAAAGAGAACAACAAGTTAGAAAGCCTTAGTGAGGATTATGCTATTGTTCTGTCTAAGCCAAGATGGCAAGCCTGGGATTGCCTTACCAAATTCAAGCTCCCAGACTACATATGACACATACATGAAAGAATAATTTAAAATTTAAAAAAAAGAGAGAAGAGGAATCTTTTTTTTTTCTGTAATCAGAATACCTATCATCCAGGAAAAGGTCATAAAACAGTGCAAAATAACACCACAGGACTAAAAAAAGATTTTTTTTTAATGTGGCAAAAATTAATACAGGATTTCCTTTGCAAATTATCCAGGCTTTTTCCCATTCTGGCGTAGATGCCACTACTCTATGTGCCCATAATGTCCTGATTCTTCCTCTCTGTAATGACAGTTCTCATCCCACAGGATTCAAGTTGCCTGTTTATGTATCTGACACCTCTGCTATTTTATCAACTCTTTAAGGGAAGGAATTGTGTTTTATGAATGACATTCTCATTTTTAAAAAGAAAACAATCGTTTGTCAAATAAAAACAAAATCTGTCTTCCTTTCTTTAGACTTTCAAAATTAGCTCAAATAAAAATATATTATTGTTGACATTCAGTAAAGTACATGTTGGCAGCCTCTTTTAAAGTGCCTTTCATAAAACAAGCAGAAGATATACACACAGATACACACATACACTTTTTAAAATTTGAAATAATATAAGTGCTCTTACTGTAAAATGTCAGACAACTTTTATCTGAAGCATTCAAAAATTTCTCCCCTGCCCCAAACACTCCTTATTGGGCTATTGTTATCCCAGTTTCACTCTTAGAAGACTTAAGGAGAAAAAGCATTAAATAGAATTTATGGGAGGTCATTGATTTGGACTAAGCTCCTACACTAGGCCCCGAGACACGAAGCCAACATGGAGTTATTGAGACTAAAGTTCCAAACTGAAACCAACTTGTTTAACCTGAGAAAGTAGGAGAGAGATAATAGTCTAATCCCCAACCAGGCCACTTTTAGGCACCGTGATAAGGAAGGCTTCTTCTGTTTTAATCTTCTATGAAAAAGTAACTTTGAAATGACCGGCCTTCTTGTTCCACTTCTGCTTCTTCAGCCGTCTTCTGCCTATCTAGACCATCTCCTCCTGCGAGGATGTGAAGTCCATCCATCTTTCAAGGTCAAGAAGTTTAGACTTTATTAGGAGGCAATGGAGAGTCGAAGAAGAATAGTTCAATTCACTTTCTGTAGAAGTGACTGAAGGAAGGGTACTTCCACAACTGCAAGCACAGAAGCCATTAAGAGGTTGATTCAGCGACCCATATAATGGTGGCCTCAATTAAGGGACTGGCAGTGTGGCTGAAGAAAAACACCTAGCTAAAAGAGAACAGGAAGCAGAACTAACCAGATGTATTGACTGACTGAATGTAAAGATAAGGGAGAGGGAAAAGTCAACGATGATCTATAGGTTTCCTCTAAACAGTCATTAAACAATTATTTACTGAGCACCAAGTATCTACCATGGTTCCAGGTACCAGAGATACATCATCAGACAGAAGAATGTCTCATTTTTATGGAGGTTATAGTTTAGCAGAAGATAGACAGTAAACAAATAAGATGTCTACAAAACCTTCTCTCATCATTCTTTTTTTTTTTTTAGAGTAAAGTGAAAGCAACTTTATTAAGAAAGTAAAGGAATAAATGGCTTCTCCATAGGCAGAGCAGCCAATGTGATCATTCTGGCCAATAGGCTTCTTTTGTCTTAGGTGTGCCAGAGTACACCACGCATTTTGGAACTAGATGGCACAGAGCAGATTCACATCATATGTACAGCTTCACTGGGAATCCTTCATCCCAATGAAGCTGATAAAGTCTGAAATAGGACATACACGTTAAAAGAATGTCTGAATGATTGTAAGGATTTTTCTGGCTTCTAGCAAAAAAGTAAAATATTGTTTGTACTTCTGAACAATTTAAGGAATTTTGAAAAGAACTCTGACTCTACTTTTTTCCCATCACATAATGAAGATTGATGTATTTATTACTTGGTGGTGTGAATTAGAAATATGATAAATTTAAAGTCTAACTTGTTTCCCATCCAAACTTCCCAACTAGACTGCACTGTATTTTTTATTTTTCTCTAATTGTTGTACATGGGTAAGTAAAACTCGTGTAAGTTTCCGCATAGTTCACACTCATGGGAAACAAAAACTGCGCCTTGTATATCATCATCCCCCGACTGTCTGTCACTCACAGAATTCAAGGCACATATGAAGTGCTCAATAAACAAGAGCTTAGAGGAAATCAATGAGGCTTAGTGCATAGCCTTATTGCAAACTGTGGTCTCCAATGCAAAAACAAAATAAAACAAAAACCCCACAACTAAAAACAAAGTAGGGGATGTTAACAAGAGAACAAGGATATGAAACCTATCTCATGAAAGAATAAACATTTCACACAGAAATCATAAATGTTGGTATTAATTTTAAATGACATTTGTCAGCCATAGAAAGTGATCTCTAATAACTCACGATAGAGCAGTTTAATGCCCAAATAATTGAAAAAAGAATTGGAGAGGTAACCTAACGGCAGATAAGATTAAGTAAGGAAAATTTCAATCTGTGTGAAGAAGAGAAGGCTTTAATTTTTCAACCCTTTGGGACAATTTGGAACATCAGGGCTCTACACCAAAACTCGACTTTATTTATCCTATATATATCCTTTATTTAGGATCCCTAAATTTATTTTTTACTTTCTTCATGAACTCGTAAGTCAGTCTCCTAGGGCAGGGGTCCCCAGGGCTGCGGACTGGTACTGGTCCATGGCCTGTTAGGAACTGGGTCACACGGCAGGAGGCGAGTGGCGGGTGAGCAGGCATGACCACCGGAGCTCAGAGCAGTGGCAGCACTGGATTCTCATGGAGGGTGAGCAGGCATGACCACTGGAGCTCAGAAAAGTGGCAGCATTCGATTCTCATGAGGGCGTGAACCCTATTGTGAACTGGGCATGTGAGGGATCTAGGTTGTGTGCTCCTTATGAGACTCTAACTAATGCCTGATGATCTGAGGTGGAACAGTTTCATCCTAAAACCATCCATCCCCTCCTCACCGCCCCATCCATGAAAAACTGTCTTCCACGAAACTGGTTCCTGGTGCCAGAAAGGTTGGGAACCACTGTCCTAGGGCAACCTTGCTTGTGTGGGTAAAGTTCTTTAAGAAAACGGGAGACTCTAGGAGAAAAAAGAACTATTATTATTGTAAAAAGAAAGATTACCAAGGACTCTTCTTTTACCATACAAAGGAGGAAATCCTTACTACACCTTAGTGTCCAAGTTCAGTATACCTTTTTGATATAAAATACACAGAAAAGCTTAATATTTGATTTATCTTAGTGTATTATCTATCTCCCCCCTCTAGAATGCGAACTCTATAAAGGCAGAAATTTTTTATCTGTGTTGTTAACTGCTGTCTCCCCAATATCTACAACAATGGTTAACAACACTAGGTAGTCAACAGTAGCTAAGAATGGACGAAAGAATCAAGGCTTGGATAACAAAACAGCTCGTTTATGGAATGCATGTATATTTTCATAAGGATAATTAGTGTGTGTAATCAAAAGCAAAGCCCTTCTGAAAGAAGTCCATCACCAATACAGATAAGTTACCACTTTGTTTGATTATCATAAACTATCAAACAATGCAACCCACTGAAAGGAAAATGTGAGACAAATTTAACTCCTATGACCTTAGCGTTGAGGAAGGAAAGATTTACATAGCGTCCATTGATTCGCTCTGGGAAGAGTGTGGTTACCTTCAAAATCTAAAGTCAAAATCTAAATCCCTAAGTCAAAACCTAAAACCTAAGAGCTGAAAGACTTCTCTGTGTTTAAGCAGGCATCCTGTTTTCACTCTGTGGTATCTAAATAGAAGCTTCAAAAGGAGACTCTGTGCTTGTGTTTACAAACTGTGAGACTGCTCAAATATAGAAACGGAAGACTTTTTGTTGTTGTTTGTTTCTAGTTTTTCTTTTTTTCTTTTTTTTGAGACAGAGTCTCACTCTGTCACCCATACTGGAGTGCAGTGGTGTGATCTTTGCTCACCACAACCCCTGCCTCCCAAGCTCAAGCAATTCTCATGCCTCAGCCTCCTGAGCAGCTGACACTACAGGCCTGCACCATGTCACCTGGCTAATTTGTTGCATTTTTAGTAGAGACAAAGTTTCGCCATGTTGGCCAGGCTGGTCTCAAACTCCTGCCCTCAAGTGACCTGCCTGCCTTGGCCTCTGAAAGTGCTGGGATTACAGGCATGAGCCACTGCACCCAGCCCCTAGCTTCTATTTTTTTTAATTACTAGTGTACCAGCTCAGGATTGAATACATCTCTCCTCCTGCTAGAAAAAATTTAAAATAACCTGAGCAATGTAGCTCATACCTGTAATCCTGGCACTTTGGGATGCCAAGGGAGAATGATTGCTTGAGGCCTGGATTAACACTCCAAGACCTCATCTCTACAAAAAAACTTTTTTAAAGAAAGAATTTAAAATAGAAGTATTTATTTCTTTCAAGTTAGCCTAAAGGCCAAATCGAGCTCCTGGATATTTGAGGAGTTCTGAAACCACGTTTGCCAAGATCATGACGGTGAGAGGAATCTGGCGTGACTAACTTTATCTTGCTTCTAGTCTCACAGGCTGGCTGCCCTTGCTCATTCCTAGGCACAGGCCAAGCTAACCATGGGAGACAGGAAGGATGGTCATAGTCCCTCCCTAAAACTAAACCCCTCTTTGCTCAGGGACCAGAGCCGCTTTTGTAAAACTAATGAAAGGCCATAAGATTAGGGTTATGGGAGGGGCCTGCAATTTGTTAAAATGTAGGCGTAGTTTCTATAATCCCTTACTGCTCAGGAGTCATGTGGCCAGAGGTCACAAGATTTGTGACTTCCTCAATTGCTCCTACAGATAACATTACTATTGTAGTACCTAAGATTGGTCTTTCGAAACGTTTTTCAGACGTTAGCATGCTGGCAACCAACTCACCCCCCTGGACCTGTGACTTATGACTCAGTTGGTCCCATGGCCCCCGCCCAGAGGCATACTCAGCATAGCAGGACCGTTTCCTACCCTCCTATGATTTTATCCACAACCAATCAGCAGCACACATTCCCTAGCCCCTTGCCCGCCAAACTGTCCATAAAAACCCCAGCTTCTGAGTTCTTGGTGAGACTGGTTTGAGTAATAACTCCAGTCTTTCCACTTGGCTAGCTCTGCATTAATTAAACTCTTTCTTTACTGCAATATCGTGGGCTTGGCGAAATGGTTTTGTGTGGGGAAAAGAAAGAGAGATCAGACTGTTACTGTGTCTATGTAGAGAGAAGTAGACATAAGAGACTCCATTTTGTTCTGTACTAAGAAAAATTCTTCTGCCTTGGGATGCTGTTAATCTGTGACCTTACCCCCAACCCTGTGCTCCCTGAAACATGTGCTGTGTCAACTCAGGGTTAAATGGATTAAGGGCGGTGCAAGATGTGCTTTGTTAAACAGATGCTTGAAGGCAGCATGCTCCTTAAGAGTCATCACCACTCCCTAATCTCAAGTACCCAGGGGCACAAACACTGCGGAAGGCTGCAGGGACCTCTGCCTACGAAAGCCAGGTATTGTCCAAGGTTTCTCCCCATGTGACAGTCTGAAATATGGCCTCCTGGGAAGGGAAAGACCTGACCGTCCCCCAGCCCGACACCCGTAAAGGGTCTGTGCTGAGGAGGATTAGTAAAAGAGGAAGGAATGCCTCTTTGCAGTTGAGATAAGAGGAAGGCATCTGTCTCCTGCTCGTCCCTGGGCAATGGAATGTCTCCGTGTAAAACCCGATTGTATATTCCATCTACTGAGACAGGGGAAAACCGCCTTAGGGCTGGAGGTGGGACATGCGGGCAGCAATACTGCTCTTTAAGGCATTGAGATGTTTATGTATATGCACATCAAAAGCACAGCACTTTTTTCTCTAACTTGTTTATGATGCAGAGACATTTGTTCACATGTTTTCCTGCAGACCCTCTCCCCACTATTACCCTATTGTCCTGCCACATCCCGCTCTCCCAGAAATGCCCGATAATGATCGATAAATACTGAGGGAACTCAGAGGCTGGTGCCGGCGCGGGTCCCCTGCGCCCACTTTTCCTTCTCTATACTTTGTCTCTGTGTATCTTTCTTTTCTCAAGTCTCTCGTTCCACCCAACAAGAAACGCCCACAAGTGTGGAGGGGCAGGCCACCCCTTCAGTTTTGTCTGTGCAGCAGACAGGAAGAGCCAGTTGGGTGACTACAGTTCCCTTCACACAGAATAAAAGTTCCTAAACAATAACACAGCTAATCTCACCTACAATTCAGGTAAGTCAAAACTATGAGCCCTTTCCCTTACTGAGTCCCAAGTAAGGGGGATTCTGGTCCAAACAAACAAAAAACCCACACAATACACACATAAAGGTCACAATTTGTATTTGCTCAAGAATCATATAACTCATTATAAACCGAAACCAAACGAAATGAAAGACTTTATTAGTAAAAATTATGAAAAATTTGAAAATATGTCAAAAGGTTACCTTTATATTCTTTTAAATATTGGACCACAGTCTAAACAGGCCCACCCAAGGATTTTTTTTTAATACTGTAGTATTGTTTGGCTTACTACTTATTATCTATCAGCATAAGGACTGCTAAGTAACATATTAACTTGCAGATTTTTGTCCAAAAGGATGTAAATGATTTTTGTGTGATAGAAAGATAGCCCCAAAGACAACAGTTTTATTGCCCTGTAAGACATTAACCAACTGACAATTCCTTTTTTTTTTTTTTTTTCTTTTTTCTTTTCTGGAGACAAGAGCTCACTCTGTCACCCAGGCTGAGGCTACAGTGCAGTGGCATGATCACAGCCCACTGCAGTCTCAACATTCTGGGCTCAAACGATCCTTCCACCTCAGCCTCCCAAGTAGCTGGGACTACAGGCATGCACCATCATGCCCAGCTATTTTTTGTATTTTTTGTAGAGATGGAGTTTTGACATGTTGCCCAGGCTGGTCTTCAACTCCTGGGTTCAAGTGATCCTCTTGTCTCAGCCTCTCAAACTGCTAGGGTTACAGGCCACTGCACCCAGCCCAATTTACTGATCTTACAATCTTATTCTAGCATTCTATCAGTGCCTATATATAATTTATCTGTGGAATTTTCTGGGAATCAGCATCACCATTATGTTGATTCCCTCATTCATCAGGCAAATAAATTTATGACACGCACTTACTATGTATTTACGAGGGTCATTGTTTTACCTCTGAAAAATATATTTTGATATCTTAAAGTTTTGGTATATTTTCTTCTTAGATGCCTACAGAATATAGGAAAGGTAAGCTGTTACTGGTCTATCAATGGCAACAAAAGAATGTAAATTGATTGCATTATTCATTCTTCAGCAGGCTGATTACTGATACTATAGTCATACCATTGAATTATTTAGTAACAAAAAATCTAGTAAATAATTACAAATTATCAGTGACTACCATATTCTTTAGAGCACATTATTTTACCCCTAAAGATGCGCATTAACATTTTGTGATTAGAGTACCTAGAAGACTACAGAAAAGAGCAGAAATGATCACTAAATGCTGCATGTACCTCCTGTGTTTTACTCCTAATGCAGCTTTAAAGCTGTACATCCTAAAGAATATTGCATTTTCTCTTTTAACAACATAAATTTTATCTCCAGCAAAGAAAGTGTTACACTATCTATAGTAAATTTTAAACACTTCAATATAGAAGTATTTCCAGTGTGATTTATGTGTATCTGGGTTAGTTTCCACTCACACCCTAATGGTATTAGTTAACATCTGAAGTACCCTAATGAGGAATTAATCCAGAGGTGGATGTTTATCATCTGACACATGGTGACCATCTGCCACAATGCCAGAGGTAGCTACTGATGGGGTCCAAGACATCCTACCCCAAAATATGGTACTTTGGCATATTAGATATTTTAAGCTGAAGGATTTGAGAAAACAGACCTTCCCCCTCCCCTTCTCCCCTGAAAAAGGTTATAAAATCTTTCCTACGTTTTATGACCTTCCCCGAAGCAGGTCAAAGGACCCTAATGTGTGAGGTGCCCTCCCTATACCCAGAAGAAAGGGGCATCCTTATCTCCAAACATGCAGTGACATAGAGACCTGAACAAATAGGTCTTACTAAGCATCCTCCAGTTTATAACATTCAGCTCATCCCCCGCTTTGTCCTATCACATTTCTCTAAGACTCTCCACTCTTCATCAAACCTACTATGAAACAAGCTCACGTTTAACTGCTTCTTCGGGTCTTCATTTCCTTATGAAGTCTCCCATGTCACATAAAACTTGAATAAATTTCTAATAAAATAAATTTTATTAGAGGGGGTCCCAGCTACCCAAAATAAGTAGCAGGAAAGATACTTTTCCTCCCCTTTGCTACAAAACATTTTCAAATATCTTTGTTTCTGATCAACCTTAAAGGATTTGATAATTTGCATTATAGATAAAAATATTTTTCCTTGGTGAAACAAGGGGTGTTTAAGATATGTGGATGGCTAAAAACAGTAGAAAAAGAATAATTAGTTTATTTCCTTTTGCCTTTGCTTGAACAATGTACAAGAATCTAGCATGCCGAATGACTAGAATTACCATAGGTTGCAATTTGCCTGTTACAGTCCCAGTTTACATTTCTTATCCCAACATAATTATTAAGAATGCCCTCTTTGGTTCTCAAAGCATTCTGCTTTGGACCACAAATTATATGGACACCCCACCACAGCATACCTTTCTTAAAGGCCCCCTAGGCTTAATACTAGGATGGACCCTGTATGGATTTTTGTCAGCGAACTGCTACTAGGTTAGCTGAATTCCGAAGCTAACGCACTGTTTCACCTGCTTCAAGTGAATCTTTCTGTGATAAATTTATAGAACAACTGGTGTGACAGTTTTTGCGCCTGCCTAATAAATGTTTGTATCTGTGCATGAGTCAGTCTGAGACTTGCTTTTATTACAACACACTGCCTGGGACTGTGCTTGCAGGTGAGAAGACCTTCAGTTTTCATTTGCTCCTATCTACTAGAGGCTACGGATATATTTTCTTTTTTTTTTTTTCTACACTTCACTTATTAGATTTATTACTAAGTACTTGATGCTTTTTATTTTTATTTTTAGATTTCAGTAAAATAGTTTAATCAAGTCACTAAACAAGCAAATGACAACAACAACAAAAAAGCCTCAGAGAGAGAGAAGGGAAATCAATATCTAGTTGCTACCATATGACACCTAAAATGCCAAATTTTCTTTTTTTTTAATTTTTTTAATTTTTATTTTTATTTTAAGTTCTGGGATACATGTGCGGGACCTGCAGGTTTGTTATGTAGGTAAATGTGTGCCATGGTGGTTTGCTGTACCTATCAATCCATCACCTAGGTATTAAGCCCAACACACATTAGCAATTTTTCCTGATGCTCTCCCTCCCCTCGCCCTTCCGACAGGCCCAGTGTGTGTTGTTCCCCTCCCTGTGTCCATGTGTTTTCACCGTTCAGCTCCCACTTATGAGTGAGAACATGCGGTGTTTGGTTTTCTGTCTCTGCGTTAGTTTGCTGAGGATAATGGCTTCCAGCTCCATCCATGTCCATGCAAAGGGCATGATCTCATTCATTTTTATGGCTGCATAGTATTCCATGGTGTGTATGTGCCACCAAAGCTCCTCTATCTGGCAGTTCCTTGCAGATGAAAGCTCCCCCCATGATTCAGAATAAGTAGAGCTTTTGGCCAGAAGAGTTTTCAAATTCTTGCCCTTATAGCTACAAACCCATGAGCCTATTTCTAGATCCTTCCTGTTATTCTTATTATAGAGGGAATAAGCATCTCTTGCTACTTTTTATCACTAGACCAACATCTTTCTTCCCTACTAGACATAAGTTCCATGAAGCCAAGACCGTTGACTTCCTTAATCATCTCTAGAACCCTGGGTTCTAGCACATTTGGTACTCATCAGTTAGTCAATATCTGCTGAATGAGTAAATTTTAAAAAGTGTCCTTGATTTCTCCTCCAGACCATTAGTTGTTCTTTTCCTGTTCAAATAGTCGGAAAGCAAAGGCAAGGAAAAAAAATCTCAGAGGCTCACACAAAAAAAGCTACAAGGAAAAACAAGTTCAGTTAGTTGTTTTCCGTGGTATCTATGAAACTTTTTTCTAAACAAATAATGTGTTCTGTCCAAAACACTTTAGCCTACCAACATAGCAACTCTACGTGCAATAACGGCATGACTGCACTGATTCTGTGTCTTGATTTTAACTTTCAACAAGTAAAACAAACACAATTTGCAAAGCAGAATTCCAACACTGCTGTCATTACGGCTTTAGATAAAGCACCACTGACAAGGCCCCCTCTAGATTCTACATGAAGACTTACGCGGACTGAAACCCGTCCTCAGTACTCCAACTGTTAACCAAACCGCCTCCCAACTCTAACCAACTACATCATAGCAAGCAAATCTTTATATGTAAACATAGAAAATTATTATTTTTATCTAGTTGCACAATGACTTTCTAACTAAGCTTTTATTGAAAAAACATACATCTCACTAATAAGGAAAAAAAAGAGCAATCACTTGTTTAGAATAAATGAGATGCTCTTCGTCCTCTGTGAGCCCCTTTGACTCATGAATTGGTTTAACTTCTGAAACCTCCAGTGTAGACTGTCCCTATCTACAGCGAGCGCCATGCACTTATGAGCAGGAAACACCCATGTGACAAAGCTCAGAACTGTCACGGAAAGGTAACCCAGGTAAAAGCGCATCAAAACAAGGACACACACACACTCTCTCTCTCTTTCTCTCTCTCTCTCCCTCTCTCCTTCTTTCTCTTTCTTTCTCTCTCTCTCTATTCAGGAGTTCTCAATTTCCCATTTCTCCCGGCTTAAAAGTTAAGAGTAATCACGCCTGTAATCCCAGCACTTTGGGAGGCTGAGGCGGGCGGATCATGAGGTCAGGAGATCGAGACCATCCTGGCTAACACGGTGAAACCCCGTCTCTACTAAAAATACAAAAAAATTAGCCGGGCGTGGTGACAGGCGCCTGTAGTCCCAGCTACTCGGGAGGCTGAGGCAGGAGAATGGCGTGAACCCAGGAGGCGGAGCTTGCAGTGAGCCGAGATCATGCCACTGCACTCCAGCCTGGGCGACAGGGCGAGACTCCGTCTCAAAGAAAAAAAAAAGTTAAGAGTAATGAGGGAAATTCCATGAAGTAGTCCAACTAAAATTTTATTTTATCCTAGAGGTAAGTCTGAGGACATTGATTAGTGCTTATTTTTGTTTTCAGTACAATATCCCCAAAAGTTTGAAAAATTAGCTTTGTCACAATACACTTCCTATATTACATCCCCTTCTAATAATTTCAGACAGCTTATAATTTGTATAGGAAGATGGCAAATGTTTTTATCTTTATGAAATTTATGTGTACATACACACACATATATATTTTATATCCAGAAAAGTTTTAGCTACATTTTTAGTTTCAGAGGCTTTGAATTCATTGATTATTGTGTAGGTAATTACTTGACCTTATATTTATTTGAGATGATCTTTTATTTTTTGAGACAGGGTACTGCACTGTCACTCAGGCTGGAGTGCAGTGGCGTAAACACGGCTCACTGTGGCCTCCTGGGTTCAAGAGATCCTCCTACCTCAACCTCCCAAGTACCTGGGACCACAGGCATGCACCACCATGCCCAGCTAATTTTTGTACTTTTTTGTAGAGATGGGGTCTCACCATGTTGCCCAGGCTGGTCTCAAACTCCTGGGCTCAAGTAATCCTCCCGCCTCAGCCTCCCAAAGCGCTGGGATTACATGTGTGAGCCACTAAGCCCAGCCACTCGACCCTACTTTTAGAAAATTCAATACATAAAGATGACATTTCCCTGGAACATTCTTTCTCCTATAACCAAAACATTAGGCATGAGTTACATTTTCCATGTCCATGAGTAGCACTTCATGTTATTATATTTCCTAAGAACTATTTTAATTATAAATTTTAGATGCAGTGAATTATTTTGGGAAAGGTGCATATCCAACCCATCCCTATTTCGAGCCAGAATAGCTTAGATTCCTGAAATCACTTCAGTTGCTCCTTTAAGACCGTGAGAAAGGAACATATGAATCTTCACAAACCTTCACAGAAGCTTGTTGAAGATTTTGGTTTCTAAAAATATTTCTATTTCACTTGATCCAGATTTTCATGTTATATTTCTTTTGCACACCATGAAAACAAGTTTTCAACTACTCAACCAAAAGTCTCGGGTAGAAAACTGCCCCTTTATCTCATGATGGTATGAACAGGAGATGAGTAGACAAAACTTTTAGACCTTTACCGGCTGTTCCTACCCCAAATGCCAGCCACTCACATGTTTTCTCGCCCTCCAAATTGCTCAGTTTTCATGATGCTGCATTTAAAACCTATGTCTGAAATTGGTAGTTTGCTTTTTTTTTTTTTTTCTGGGGGAGGGGTGTTTTTACAAGGGAGATTTGGGGGAAATGTGGGTATGGAGAAATTTTCTTTCCATTTTCCACTGGCTGGCACTAGAAGAATCCAGTCAGTTTTTCTCTGTTCTTTTTCTCCCTCTGTCCTCTTGGTACCAAAGCAGTCACCATCACAAATTCCCTTTCTTTCTATTAGTGGATATGGAATTATCTAGCATTATTAAGAATAAGGTGAAACTGTCTCAGACCCAGGCTTAAATTGCAAAATGACAAAATATATTAAAATACTAGAGTACAAAAGAAAAGATACAGAAAAATTCTACAAAGGTATATATGAATGGCCAAACTGTCCAACATACATAATCCTTGCATAAGCACCCAGTATGTCCTAACAGAGAAAGAAACCAGTTCCAGAAAAATTAAGTCAAAATAATCACATATAAGAGCTTCTCTCTTTTAGCCCTTCAGTGACAGCTGAACGTTGGTCATTAAATGGGCATGGAAGAAACAGAGAGAACACCATCTTCTGTTTGAACAAAATCCTGATCTCCACCAAGAACTGAAATTGGGTCTTCTCCACTTGGAAGACTCCTCTCTCTATAGAGAAAGAGAGAGAGCTGTTTTTCTTTCTCTCTCTCTTTTTTTTTTTTTTAGATGGAGTCTAGCTCTATCACCCAGGATGGAATGCAGTGGCTGGATCTCTGTCTGCTGCAACCCCCATCTCCCAGGTTCAAGTGGTTCTCCTGCCTCAGCCTCCTGAGTAGCTGGGATCATGGGCGTGCCCCACCACATCTGGCTAATTTTTGTATTTTTAGTAGAGATGGGGTTTTGCTATGTTGGTCAGGCTGGTCTCGAACTCCTGACCTCAGGATACACCCGCCCTCCGCCTCCCAAAGCGCTGGGATTACAGGCATGAGCTACCACACCCGGCTCTTTCTCTTTTCTTTTGCCTCTTAACTCCGCTTCTAAACTCCTCTTGTGTGTTCATGTCCTAAATTTTGCTGACGCGAAATGACGAAGCCCAGGTACGTACCCCAGACAACGTAGCCACTTCATACTGGGAACCTCGTCGGGGAAACCAAGGTACAGCAGTCACCGAAATGGTGAGCAGAGGAACGGACTCCAACTCTGCCCTTTCATTTCAAGGCTCTCGGCCTAAATGTTAGAACCATATCAAATCAGTAACAGGCATCCGTCAGCCAGTTAGAAACGCGGTTAGCACGGCTGCTGTTCAAAGACTGGGATGCCAGGCGTACTGGGGAAAACATGGAGAATCTCCCAGCACCCATGGGTTGCTGGGCATGTTGGCCACGTGTGAACAAGCTTCCTTTCATGAAGGACTTAGCCATCGCTTGAAGCTGGAAGAGGTTCTGGAGCAACTGAGGATTTCTGGCTGGGGCTACCGCCCAGTATTACCCAAACCCTCCTGGACTGACCCCAGCCTCCACCGCTGGATGGGTTGTGGGCAACAGGATTCCAACTTTCCTATGTAGTTTCCTCCTTTCCTGTCTGCACCCACCATACCTCCTGTCTTTTCCACTCGGAAGACCCCTCTCTATAGAGAGAGAGCTGGTTTTCTTTATTCTTCTGCCTATTAAACCTCAGCACAAAAAAAAAAAAAAAAGAACTGAAGTCGGTTCTGGACTCATCCAGGGAAAATGTGCTTTAAATTTGGCTGTGGTGTTCTCCAGTGGTCAAGGAGAATATGCTATTGATTTGTGCTCTGGCATTACCACTGCACACTGACAGGCAGTTCTTTTAAACACATACTTGCGTGGTTTAGACAATGTCTGTGTATGACTGAAGCTTCACTTGAAATCCTAGTAGTTCTTGGAAATATGTGAGCTCAATGAGCTAAATATAGTGCCGACAGGTATGAGTGATTAGCATGGTGCTAACTCTGCATCAGGAATATCAACTTTGTGTTTCCAATGCTACTTTCAACTTTAAACTCAAAGGTTTTTTATATAAACGTTTAATAATACCTATAGCCTTTCTATTGGGCATGAATTCAAAACAGACAAGAAAATAGGTGTCTTAACCACATTATCACTGCTGATCACCAACAAAACTGTTAATAATCATAGACACAGAAATCTGGATATGTCCTCTAGTCATTTAACACAATTTTTTTTTAAAAAGTATATGTAGCTTTTACTAATAAATATTATATAAGATTCTGTTATCCATTCAAATCTTACTTTAAGAAAAAAGTCAATTTAGACTAAAGGCCATGTATGTGGTATTATACTTCACTTTTGATAAAATCTGATTAATTATAAGGCATAATCTTACTTTTTCAGGCTGAGGGTCATTTTAAGTGCTTATTTTTTCCAAAGAAGTGAGGAAAAAATGCTGAAATGATTTCAAAATTCTTACATGCACAGTGCAAATTTAAATTGCTGTTCGAAATTACCCAAGACCCATCAGAAAAGAGGAAACCACAGGAGAACTAGAAATAAACCTATTTCCATTCTTGGAAAACCATCCTGTACATTAAAAAATGTCACGCTTCTCATAAAAACTGGCAAATAGGCCAGTGGAATAGAACAGAGAATCCAAAAACAAATCTGCACATTTACGGTCAACCCATTTTTGACAAAGGCACCAAGAACATACATTGGGGTAAGGACACCCTCATCAATAAACGGTGCTGAGAAAACTGGATATCCATATATAGAAGAATGCAAGTAGACCCCACCTCTCACCACATACAAAAATCCAATCAAAATGGATCAAGGACAAATGTACAACCCAAAGCTATGAAGCTACTAGAAGAAAACATTGGAGAAATGCTTCAGGGTATTGGCCCGGCAAAGATGTCTTTTGAGAAGACCACAAAAGCACAGGTAACAAAACCAAAAATAGACAAATGAGATTATATCAAGCTAAAAAGCTTTTGCATAGCAAACAAAACAATCAACAGAGTAAAGAGACAGAATGGGAGAAGATATTTGCAAACTCTCCATCTGACAAGTGATTAATAATGAGACTATATAAGGAACTCAACTCAATAGCAAAAAAACCACCAAAAGCAGGAAAAAAAAAACAAAAAATGGGCAAATTAACTGAATAAACTGAATAGACATTTTTCAGAAGACAAATGCCCAACACATATATGAAAAAATTCTCAACATCATTAATCATTATGAAATGCAAATCAAAACCATAATGAGATATCATCTCACCCCAGTTAAAATGGCCATTTTAAAAAAGACGAAAAAGAACAGATGCTTGCAAGGATGTAGAGAAGGGGGAACTCTCATATCCTGTTGGTGAGAATGTAAATTAGTTGAGCTGTTATGCAAAAGAAAACATTATGAATGTTCAGTGAAAAACTAAAACTAGAACTACCACGTGACCCAGCAATCTCACAGGTGGGTATGTATCCAAAAGAAAGGAACTCAGTGCCTCAAAGAGATACCTGCACTCTCATGTTTATCACAGCACTATTCACAACAGTCAAGATACGTAACCAACCTGTGCCCATCAACAGATAAATGCATAAAGAAAATATAATGCATATATGTGTGGTGGAATATTACTCAGCCATAAAAAAGAATAAAGTCCTGTCATTTGCAGCAACATGGATAAGCCTGGAGGACATTATGTTAAGTGAAATAATCCAGGCACAGAAAGGCAAATATGTTATGTTCTCACTCACATGTGGGAGCTAAAACAATTTGAGGTAGAGAGTAGAGGGGTGGTTATCAGCGGCTGCGAACAGTAGTGGGGGATGAAGAGAGCTTACTTAATGGGTACAAAAATATAATTATTACGTACAATTATTATGTATCAATAAAACTAATAAATTGAAAATGATTTAAGTTCCTAAAACTTGATAACAAAACCTCAGAGTAATAATTTTTCAGTTTATTTTTTTTTAATTCCAATAGAAATTCTATTAGCAGAAGATAAAATTTTAAAATGGTAACAAAGGGTTCTGTGCATATTTGGATACATTTAATATATAAAAACAATCCCATTCATTGGCAGTCCCCTTCTTACCCGCCAAATACTTTTTTAGAAACAGAACCACACAGCCCATACAAATTCCTGGTTTACTAGAAGTCGGTGTAGCGTGTGTTTCACTATCCTGCATATATCCCCTATGCGGACAGGGGCAGAGCTGTGTCTAACTACCAAAAACCCACTTGGCCATAAGGGAGGTGGGGCCGAACATGTCCTAGGAACACAGCTGTATTCTCACTACAAGGACTACTCCAGCCGCTGTCATGGGGGCAGCTGCCTGCGGGAGACCACCAAGATGATGCAGTGTTTGTGATATTCATGTTATTTCTAATCAAAGGAAAAAACACTACCATGAGGGCTGGTGATAATGTTACACTGAAACTAACAAAGACAGGGAAAGGTACCTCATGTGCCAGGTCCTGTGCCGGGGACTTTCCATACACTGCGTCCTTTAATCCACACACCAACTCCGTGTGGGAAACACAGCAGTCTACCCAGCAGTATACTACCCTAGGAGGGCTCTGATAGGTTAAGTAACTTTCTTAAACTTAGAAGAGAGGACTGAACCATAAGCCCAGTCCTTGCACTTCCGCCTGCTGTGAAAGACTACAGGATTTAAGTTTTGTATCATTATGACTTAGTGTATCTGGATACTTGGGGCTCTCTCAGACTGATCTTCCAGAGAGCATGTCCCCCGCCTCGCCACCAACAGTCCATAACTTTCCAGACTTTTAAAGCCCTCTGGGTTGTAACAAGGTCAAAGAATTGCCGTTCAATGCCCAGGCAGATACACAAAGGTCCAGAGCCACTGCTTTTTCTATAGCAAAACGCACAGGATCACTCCTGGCTGTCCCTCAGGATTTTAAAGTGACATATCACATGAGCCATACTTCATTTCTTCACGGCTAATGTCCCTCCAGAAATACCAGAAATCAGTATCATAACAAACCTAACACACATCACAGTTCCCACTTTTCATATCTAACCTGCATCTAAATCTGCTGAGCGTATCTCGGAGCCTCTCTCCAGTTTGCCTCCTTGCCATTCCCTCCCTCCATGGCGGACTTTCCTCTTCTGTGGCCCTGAGTGTTTACGGCAAGCCCCGCATTGGTATCTCTATTAGACCCTCTGCCCCTCCCAGTGACGTCTTGATCCTCTTCTGCTCGGGCACCATCTTCTTCAAACAGCCTTCTCTGGTCCCCTCAGCTGAACTGCAGGCTCCTCTTCTGGGCTTCCAAAGCCCCGTGCACATATCATCGCATCAATGATGCCCAGCACTGGAATGTGTTTGTCTGTCTCTCCCCACACCATGGGCTTGCGGGTGGCTAGCACAAATACAACTTCATACTTCTTTCCTTCACAGGAAGCAAAACAATTCGAAACAGGAGTTAAGACTGTCCAGGAGAAAGGGGAAGGAGCCCATGGCCATTTCGTATCTCTTCATAGCTACTCAATCATTAATTTAACAAATAACTTATCGAACTTATACTGTATGCCAGATAATGTGCTAGGCACTCCAAGGGCAGAAGTGAGTGCACACAGGGGCAAACAACACAGCAGAGGAGTCAGCACGCAAATGTAATATGCAACGATAAGGTGCAGACAAGCTTCTTTGGGAGCACAGATTAGGAAGACAAATCATGTCTAAAGGATTCAAAGAAGACTGCACAAAACCTGGACATCTGAGCTTGGGACTGATGCATCTGTGGGAGTTAACCAGTAAAAGACACAAGGAAAGGGCAGGCTGACATCAAAAACACCAGTCAAATCAATCAAGCCATAACCAGGCCTTAAACCCAGCTGCTTTCTTTCAAAGGAGAAAAGCAGCCCGAGCAACACAGTGAGACTCTGTCTGTACAAAAACTCAAAACTAAGCCTAGCATGGCGGCACGTGCCACAGTCCCAGCTACTCAGGAAGCCAAGGCAGGAGCATCGCCTGAGCTCAGGAGCTTGAGGCTGCAGGGATCCGTGATTATGTCATTACACCCCAGCCTAAGCAACAGGCAAGACCCTGTGTCAAAAAAATACAAGAACAGTAAATAAAGGAGAAATGGCCTGAACATCAACTTCAACTCCTATTTTTCATAGAGCAGGGCCATTACTAAAACTCCCTTGAAATATCCATACAAAGACACCTTCTATCAAGCCATGATTATAGTATTTTCTTCAATATTTATTGGAAATTACATAAAATATTTCCCCCATGAACAGCACACGTGCAATTCTGTGAGAACAGAGTAAATAAAACCGATATATATCAAACAGTACCTTTTCTGCAGTTGAGAGGTAAGCAAAAGCATCCTCTGTTTAATAAACAAGAAAAAAATGTTAAGGAAGAATGTAGAATAGGTTGCCACCAAATATGCAAATGCATTCACGCTTAATACCTATTCTTAGCTGAAGTGTCTAGAGGTTGCTTTGTGTCTTGCGCATCAATCTCAGAGCAAGCAGAATAGATGATCTGAAATATTAATCCTAAACGGGTCTTGCCAGTGGGCAGCTGTGGGCTCGCAGAACCTCTGTGTAGACAGTCTCATTACCTACTTGTTCAGGCCTCTTTGCTGGCAAAAAGTATAGCTGAATAAACAGAAAGACAAGATCTGCAATGCCTCAGCGCTCAGAAAATTATGACGATGGGAAGAATGAAGCTCTGAGGTCAAAATCTTTTAAACAGCAATAATCTTTGCACTACATCAGACACCTGGCAATCTCAGTCCATTGTACTTATGGGAATGCTTTTTAGATGTTCTGATTAATACGGGTACTTGGGAGCCTAAACACAAAGACCTAACTAGAATACATTGCAATTCTGAGCCTCAGGCAATGTATATGAAAAAGATACCAGAACTAACTTTTGTTGAATAAAAGGATTCACGGTTCTTGCAAATGGTTATGATTGTAACAAATGTTTATCATTGTAACAAATGGTTATCATTGTAACTCTAATTCCAGTTACGTGACAACAAGTACAGTTTATGGGAAAAGACATGTGCAACAACCACCAAATGATCTGTCCATCTTACCAAAGACAATGAAATGATGAGTCCCTGCTAGTTTCTAGATATTATTTATCCAAGTTGTTGATTTGTAGGTGCTCATTCCATTTTCTCCTACATAATCCAGTAATCTATAATCCAGTAAGAAACTCACAACATAGACATGCAATTTACAGTTTCTGCATAGGGTCATTAAAAATTCTTTCATTACAAAGTATTTCTTGGATTCTTAAATATTTGGAAAATGCACAAAACACGTGAAAAATATAGTTGTTCAGACAAAGAAACGTCATTCTGATCTCATGTTTTCTCCCCAGGAACAGACTTCACAGCAATCCATTCCCTTTACATTTATTGTTTCCTTAACTTGCACCAAGCCTGAGGAGGTCAGTGCTTGGCACACATTAAGAAAACAATAAATAGGGAGGGGGTTACAAACTATGCTGATTCCCTGTTCTATGCCTCACTCTGGGTGAATTCAACCGTCTGAAGGGATAGCAAAGTCAGAAGTATGTGGCAAGCAGCAGGATGCCGAGATGGTTCCAGCTCAGACAAGGTTCCAGGAGAGAGAGCCTACCCATCTTTCCCAGGCCAAAATGTTTTCCATGTAATAAAGGTCACCAGTGGTTGCCAATATGCGTATACGAACTATATTGGCTTGGTCAGAGTTAGCTGGAAAAGCAAAAGCTCTGTAGTACTCCAGAGTTCTCAGATAGACCTGTCCAAAACCTCTCATTCCTTTGTTCCAACCTTTAATTTCCAACCCCCACAATCCCACCCCAGTTTCCAACCAGTACTTTCACCGAGAGGGCTGTACCACTGCCTGAGAAGTCACACAATACCTTCTGCTTCGTGACCAACTCAGACTTGGATATCTACCTGCTACCTATCATATCAATATGATGTAGAGGAGTGTCCGGGGCCCTAGACCTAAATCACTTTGTGTGGCACCTGCATCAGCCTTCCTTAGTGACAATCTTAAATCTAGTTGGTTTTCTTTGAGAATTTATTTCCTTCCCAAGTATATTTCTGTGATTAAAATTATGTGGTGTCAGAAGTTTAGTTTCAATTATATTTTACAGACACCCGTCTACATTAAATTTACCTTCTTGCTTTTCCACCATCCTTAGTTTTGTCGTAGTGTTTTTGTTGCAACCCTGTTCTTCCTTCCTGTGTCTAATTATTTAAAAATTACCACTAAACTGATTTTTATATTTTATTTCCATCAAGATAAACAAGATACAAATAGATGCCCTCAAAAAAGTTAATGATCAATTGGGTAAAACTATATCTATACCCGCACCCAAAAAGACAACATAATTCAATGCACACATGCAAATCAAGAACAAGAAAGATGATGGAATTAGCTCCAAAACTACTAACCTTCACATTAATCTGCCTCTTGCATGTCAATAGTTTATTTCAAATATTCGGTCCCTGTCAATCTAAGAAAGTCCTAAATCCAAAGCCCTGCGGGAATGACATGAGTTTCCTGGTGTCCAGCACACGTTCGAAATCCTGCTGTGTGAAGAGGGTTCAGAGAGGCCAAAAGGCACCATTCATGGACTTTAGGAGAAAATATTTTGTATTTTGTGCATTTAGAAAAAGGCTACAATTTGAATGTTTAAATATTTAAAGCCAATAAACAAGGAGCTATTATTTAATTTTTAAAAAATCTTTTTTCAAATTTCCCTGGAATATTTTATTTCATTTACAAAATAAATGTATGAAGATGACAAAATCTTAGAACTTTTTTGAGGCTGAGTGACACACTTTATCTATACTGTTCTAAATTTTACATTAACAAAATTATGTTCATCACTTAGAATGTGACATTGTATTTAGAAAGTCAGCTTCCCTTGTCCTATTAAAATGGTATTTAGATTGTAAGTATTTTATTATACTCAACTTTTCAAAAACATAATTATTATATAAAGAAAGATATGTGTAGTTATATGTACATGTATATACACTCACACACACACATTTGTAATCCTTTCAGGCTTACACATAAACACATGTTAAAATATTGAAAAGCAGCTCCAAAAATAACTAAAATGTCATTTGCCAAACTACTTCTAGGCTATCTCTGGGAATAGTAGAATTTTTGGTCATAAAAGGAACAAAACATTTCCTATTTTGCTTTTCTCCCACCCTTTTCCAGCCAACCTCTTCTAACCAGTCTCCATCTTTAAATAATGCTAGAGACCTACAATAGTTTTCAACTATCAGATTTAATCTCTTTGGTTGTATCAGACTGATAAGTTGAAAATAAATGGTAATAGCCAGTTTGTGTCGGGCCTATCGGGCAAGTTGTTTCTTCAGAATAATATTCAATTTGATACGTATTTTGAAACAAACATTTACTTTGTTTCATGGCCGGCTGTGAATAAACAGTTCTCTAAGTTATTAGTGAAGGGACAGCAAAATTTGACCATTCTATCTACCCATCTGCTTCTCTGTGGCAACAAACTGATTTCCATGGGACGCTTGAATAAAGCAAGGCTGTCTGTCCAAAAGAAGTAGAACTATGTCCTCAATAGGCAATGGAACAATGACTGACACTGAGTCCTAGCACTGTCACCAATATCCCGAACAATCAAGCTTCAAACCCAAAAAGGTGCAAATAAAATTTAAGACTAGTTTGGGTTTGGTCCCAATGGGGCTAAGAAAAACTAGTGATTGTTGAACACTGGATTCACTGACAACTGGAGAGAAAAAATTAAAATTCCAACATTATGATGTCAATAATAATTTCATCTGCAGCAACATTCAGGAAGCTGATGAGATGATCCTAACGGGTGATTTAAAGTGAAAGGGAAAAAAAACACCCTTGGCATAATTTAATAAGATCTTCAGACTGAAGCATATTCAAGGGTTTCATGAAAGACCTTCTCATGGCCTTTTAATAGCTCTTTCCAATTCCAATTAACTGGTTAAATGCCAATTCTCATTACCTCATCAGAAATCCAAAGCCAGTCTTTTCTGATTAAATCATTAAATAACTGTTAACAGTACAATGACTAGTAAGTATTTATGGACAGCCCAGCACTGATATGCAGCTTTCAGTTCTCCGTGCCAAAGGAAAAACTGGAGTGGGCGATTTAAAATCATAATAAATTCTATTCATCTTCGGAATGTGCTAGGATATATTTATCTAATATATTCACTCTTCTTAATTGTTTTACTGGCACTAATACATAGATTGGGAAGACAGGCATGATGGCTCATGCTGGTAGTCCCAGCTACTTTGGAGGCTGAGGTAAGAGGATCCCTTGAGCCCAGGAGTTCAAGGCCGTGGTGAGCTATGGTTGCGCCATTGCACTCTAGCCTGGTGACAGAGCAAGACTTCAACGCATTAAAACAAAAAAAAGTTTATTTTAGATTAGTATAAGCTTTTCATACTCTCTAAATAGACTGCAGAAATGATGATTAAAAGGGAGTTCATTTTTGTGGAAAAGCCAGGTAGGTAGTGAAGAAATGGGAAAACATGTCAACTGTGACCTGCCGCTGCCTGGCAGCATGACGAGTCAGATGGCCCCACTCAGGAGTCACTCCAAGGCCTGTGGACGTCTCCACTGGGCAATTACCACACCAACAGGCAATGCCTATGTCAACTCATACCAAAGCTCACTTTTTCCACAGATCTGCCTGCAACCCTTGCTTTCCCTCCTCCCTGACTGCTTGCTGACGCTCAGGACTGGACAAACATGGCTCAAGAGACCAGGGTTCTGGTTCCAAGTCCAAGCTTGTCACCATCCTCCCAAGACAGAAGATATTCACCCTCAGAGTTGGAAAAGGTCGGCTCTGCCACGTCCTCTTTCCTTTTGCACTTTTATTTTTTATATTCCTGAGCATCCTGGGACAGAGCTCCTCTGAGAAAATGAATGCGACTCTCCAGAGGACGATCCACAGCAAACCCAAAGCCTCCTTTGCTTACAAGTTATAGAAAGATCCCACGAACACTCTATTCTCTATGCAACTTCTTGTCCATGCAGTCTTACCATGAGGAGGATATTATCATGGAGAAAAACAGGCTTTGACTTAAAAAACAAAATAAAATAAAGCATAATCAACTAAAACTACCATTTAACTTATGCTGTAGGTCACTGCAGCAAAGAAATGATCAAGTTTCAGTATCTTCCAGAAACTAGATAAATCGTCATAGCTTGTTTAAATGAATACATCACTAGTAATATGTATTTTTAGGGGTTTTTTGTTTTTTTTTTTTTTTTTTTTTTTTTTTTTACAGAGTAAGACGCTTATAATATGTGAAGTTCTGTCCACAGTTACCTGAGATGTTAGGGTTAGTTGAGCTTAAAATAGATACTTCCAATTAGAAGCAGCCAAATATAATTTTTTATGTGAGAAAATAACTGCAATGCTAGTATGACCCTTTATTTTCCTAGGGCTAAAGTCAGAAAACAGAAACAAATATAAAAGTATCACATTCATGTCAATGGCTTAGTGAAGACAGGACCTTATTATCCTTTAAATGCTGCTTAAAATGCTCCCAGACTCGCCCGTTTATCTGCTCCTCTTCCAGCAGAGTGTCTGGCACAAAATGGCTGTTCCTTCAATCTCTGCCAATCCCCATCCACATCTTTCAACTGGCAGGAATTTCCCTAATTAAATGCTACCTGCAGTATTTTTATCACACTCTCAATCATCACTGTACTTAAAAGCTTAGCTCATAACTGTCTTTTAATACTTTAAAAAATATGGCTTATGTAAATTTTATAAAAATCATTTAATTGTACATTGAAAATGGTATTTTATGGCATGTAAATTATGTTCATATGCGGTTAGGTTCTTGTTCTCAAGTTATTTCATTTTGCTTCTTTTTCTTTAAAATTTATTCAACACAACAGTTCAAGGAATGAAAAGATTCCCTCTTTTTCTTTAACATCTTTTCACTCTTCCCGGTAGGCAAGCGTAAGATAAACATTAAGTGACACATAAATTGCCTCTTTCTGTCTTTTGAGCTCAATGCCCTGAAAGCAGCCCAATCTCCTACCTTTTATGTTTGTTGGTAAATTTAAACTGAAGAATTAAACAGGATGCAGGTGTTTGAAATTCTCTTTGTTCGGCCTACGTAAATACCTCCATTATCCATTTTAACAATCTATTCCTAAATGCTGATGATTCCCAAAGTTCTATCCGGCTTTAATTTCTCCACAGACCTTTGCATCTGAGTACATAACTGCCTGCTAAAGATCTCCAGGCACCTCATATGGTTTCTGGAGCTGAACTCATCATCCTTCTTCCCAGCACGCACAGGCTCTTAGCAATGCTTCCACTATGTACGTAGCTCAAGCTTGAACCTGTGTCACCTCGAACTCCTTGCCTCTCTCCTACTTTCTGACTTGAATCCACCTCGATGTCCTACCAATTTTACTTTCTATTTATTAACTCTTTAGTCTGTCCCCAATATTGCTGCTCTAGTTCAGATTCCAAATATTTCTCACCTGAACCACTGCACCGTCTCTCAGGTGTCTCCCTTCTTCTCTACATCTCAGATCCCCTTCTCCATAATGGCCAGCACAATCCCACTGAAACTCCATTTGGTTGCTTACTTCTCCATTAAAGGGTAAACCCTTTAATCGCTGTTCCTCTCTTTCTCACTCAACCACAAATTCTCACATGCCATATAGAACCCAGCCTCTGAGAATCTGGCCCCAGCCATCTCTTCCTCTAAACCCTACAGTCCCTTCTTGGAATGTCTCTCTTGTTTTCACCGGCTAGCACGTTCTCATCTCCTAACAGTATTCTAGGCCAGGCATGGTGGCTCACACCTGTAATCCCAGTGCTTTGGGAGGCTGAGGCAGGAGGATTGCTTGAGGCCATGAGTTGGAGACTGGCCTGGCCAACAAAGTGAGACCTTGGCTCTCAAAAAAAAAAAAAATAATAATAATAATAATCCTACCTACTCCGGAGGCTGAGGTGGTATTAAACCCAAGTGTTTAAAGCAGCAGTGAGCTATGATCATACAAGTGCACCCCAGCCTGGGTAACAGAAGGGGACCCTGTCTCTATCAAAACAAAAAACAAAAACTATTCTCCTTCACTGACATTCATGGCCCCACATTCTCAGCAAGATTTGCTAATTTTGCTACGGCTCCTGTGAGCCTATCCACTCCAACCACACTGCTGTATTTAAGTGCCTGTCCTCCACTTTAAAACGTGAGCTACCTGAGGGCAGGATTTATGTCTTGTATTTCTATCCACAACTCATAATACAATGATTCTTACAAGGTAAGCTGTCAATAAATATTGAAGAATGAACAAATGAATATAGGGAGTTCAAACATGAGAACTAAAGGTCTATATCAGAAAACTGTCAGTCAAGATTCTAGCTGTTATAATACAGAAGGCCCCATCACATTCCCCAAGACAAATTTATATTTTCCCACTGTCCTTAATTTTATTTCTTATACTCTCATTCCTGAAATAATGTTGATTATTTTGAGAACAGAATATTAAGGCTATCGAGAGTGATGCTTCTCTCTCCTCTTGGATGCAAAAATTATCTGTATCTTCATCCACAGGAAAACATGTCCCTCCCTGTGATTCAGTTTGTCCATGTAAAAAGAAAAAAAAAAAAGCTCGTGCTCCTCACCTGGCCCCCCATCTCTTCCCAAACCCCACTCATTCACTTTCACCTCTGAGACAGCCCTCAGATTTATTCCCTCCTCTAAATTCCCAGAGCCACTGCTATAGTTGAGGTCGTTATCATCTCTTATTTAGACTGTTTTGACAACCTCTTAACTAATCTCTCCCCTTCTAGTCTCTCCCTTTCATAACCCACTCTTTATGCGCCTGGGCTCTAACCAAAACTGATCATGCCTTAAAATCTTCTCATGTGAATAAGAAAAAGCTCAAAATTATTAGTGTGAAAATCAAAGCCTTATACTGTCTTGCTTCATTCTACCTTTCTAACCTCACCTCCCTGGGTGCATTCTAGAACCCACCCATCTGCTGATCACTTCTCAGCAGGTGCTGTGTGCCATCTCTCCTCATTTGTGCTCATGCTTTTTTCCTTTGACTTTATCCCTCTGTCACCCTGAAAACTCCCTACTCATCCTTGAAGAAAACCTTGTTCAGATGGGCCATTCTTCTATAAAACCTTTCAACCTGCCCAATTACAAATCATGACTCTTTTCAGGGTTTCTGTAGCATTTATCTTATACGCCTGGTATGGAACACAAACTATTAGTTCTAGCTCCACTCTAAAATGGGAGCTCCTTTGAAAGAAAAGTCTATGAATTACACATCTTTGAATATTCACTGGCTGAGATAAGGCAAGAACAAGTCTTACCACTGAATTTTCAGGAGCACCTAACAAAGCTCCAAGATGGAGATAAATTTGTGGAATAAAAGAATCACCCACTTGTAAGAGCGAATATGCAGAACTGGGTAAATGAGTTAACATAAAATACTTTGAAAACATAAATATGTCCAAAATGATTTAAACATTTACTGTGAAACATCCCTGGTATACAAAGACTAGAACGGTGCTACTCAGAGCATGCTGTTCACCAGAGACTGTTGTGGATCCACTGTGAAATAAGAAACAAAATAAAAAGAATAAGTATTTAGAAATTTCTACAGCAATGTGACACGGCTGATCCATCAAAATGCAGGCTGAGTGGGCTCGTCTCCTGGGAGAAGGTACTGGCTGGTTCGGGTCTTGTCGAACTTGTGTATAAAAGTGACACATGGGGCAAGAGCTGCAGGCTGGTCATGTTGCAATAGGACGATATTCGTCTGGGACAGACTGGAAATGGGGGGAAAAATAACACAAGCCTTTCGCGAGACAGTTTAAAAAGCAAAGGGAGTAAAATAAGAAACTCCAGTGTACCAGAACCAATTTCCTCATGTTTACCTTCCATATTCGCTTGAGACCTTTCCTCCCCATGATAAAAAAAAAATTATAGATACAGTTGAAACCACCTCTATGTCCTTCCCCAACCCTTGCGTTCCCCCTCCTGCTCCTATATCATTTTTTAAATAGGCTACTGTCAAAGGAAAAGCAGAGCTGGAGAGCAGAGCAATGAAAATATTTTTTATCAGGACTACAGCAACAGGGGGAAAGAGATCTCAGTCAAGACCCCAGGCTGAATCCAAACACAGCATCGGCAAGTGGGAATTTATAGCCAAAGAGGAGGGTGGCAGTCGGTGAATGAAAAATTATTAAGAGGCAAAATCACAGGTAAGAGGACATTCTGGCCACACCATCCTAACAGGATTCTTGCCAAAGACAGGCCAAGATGATGACACATCACCCGATGGGGGATGAGGAAGCCGATCAGACACTGAGACTGATCAGATATGAAGGACTGGGGTTCTGGCTAAATTGACTTAGCAGGGTCCTTGCTAAAATGCACAGATGGGCCCTGGTGGGGACAGAGTTCAGGAACCTGACTAAAGTTTAGAAAAGCAAAGAATCTTTGTCAGCACCAAATCCCGTTTAGGAGGATGAAATTTTCCTGTTGAGGATTAGGGTCATGTTTTATTTCACCAAAAAAAAAGCACTAAAAATGAACAATGATCAATGTTATTGTACAGACTCTAGCCTGCTAAATATTATGTGAAAAGGTGCTGTGCCCCCTTGTCTGTGACCCTTCAGCCACAACTCATACAACTCAACTCCTGAACTCCAAGTGAAAGGCCCTGTGCTGCCCCAACCTGCAGAGGGAGAAACACCTTACTGAAATGTCTACAATTTGGAAAGAAAGACTAAAGAGCATGTTGTATGGCTGTAGAAAGAATAACACAGACAACGGATTTATTGCTAATAAAACAGACTAAGAACAATGGGCTGATGAGACTTAACTAAAAAGATGTTTATTCCAATGTTAGAGGTTACCTCAGAGAAGACACACAGAGAAAAGAAATGCCCGAAATGCCAGGTGGAAAGTAATGGGCTTTCCACGGTTAATCAAATGGGCACTGCCATGCCAACGTGCCTCCTGAAATTCAAACCCTCTATTTTTGCATGGCTGCCAACTCATTTCCAAAACATCCACTGCTAATCAAACTTGTTTGGCTGCCTCCTTATCGAAACTTTACAAAACTTTAATTTCAGCCTCATGAGCCCTGCAGCTGTAAATTAATTGAATGAAATTGACAAACATTATGCAGTGAGATAAAGCACTTTCAAAGTCTTTTCCCTATTCAGTTGACTTAGCTGCCCAGCATGCCAGTTTTGCTTGACATGAGTTCAGAATCCCTGGAAACCTTCCTAATCCTACTCTCTAGGCCTTGTGCCTATTCATGGAACCATGTTAACCCATATCCGGAAAATTAATAAACCTCGGATGGGTTTAAGCACTCAAAATACTCCTGATACTTCTTGCCATTCATTACATTGTAGACATCCTTTGCAACAGGAGAATCCTCCTCAAAAGACCACGACGGCAGCAGATAAAATCCCTGAGGTTATAAGCATACAACAAAATGTCTCATTTAAGATTACTGCAGTCTGAAGCCAGGAATTAAATTTGCTGAAGGTGCAGTCACTTATGCCTTAGTTAAATAAAGATAGTCCCAAAACTGATTTCTGAACTTACCCATTTCTCAAAGGGAGTGCAAAATTATCATGATTTTTAAACAGCAAGGCGAGTAAACTGATCGCCTCTGTATCTGCCAACTGAACAAATGAGTCAGCTAATCAGTGGTTACATACATCACACTGACAGAGAGGAGAGAAGACCATTAACTTTCTGAAATGAGAAGTCCTAATATACCGAGGTGCCACAAGTCACTTAGGATTTCCGTGGTTATGAAAGAAGAATTGAAACGTCTCTTCCCTCTGGTGGGTTTTCACAGCACAACTGCCACAGCTTCCAACTGAGGTCTAGTCTCTGACCTTCCCTCTTCATCAATGTTATCAGCATCTGGAAGCCCTCTGGCCTATGTGGAGCCATGGGGACAATGGAGGCAGTTTCAAAGCTTCTGTCTTATGACAGAAAACCTGGGTGTAAAACAACCTCTGATATGAACTACTAAGGGACTTGTATAGATTCCTTAAACTCTCCGAAACACTGTTCTCAACAGCAAAGTGAGGAGAAAAACAGCTCTCAAGTAGGGTTGGTGTGAACGTGAAAAAAGAGAAAGTAATACAAGAGTTGGGCATATAATAGGCTCTTAAAAAGAATTTTGAAGGCCGGGCACGGTGGCTCACGCCTGTAATCCCAGCACTTTGGGAGGCTGAGGCGGGCGGATCACAAGGTCAGGAGATCGAGACCACGGTGAAACCCCGTCTCTACTAAAAATACAAAAAATTAGCCAGGCGTGGTGGCAGGCGCCTGTAGTCCCAGCTACTCGGGAGGTTGAGGCAGGAGAATGGTGTGAACCTGGGAGGCGGAGCTTGCAGTGAGCCGAGATTGCGCCACTGCACTCCAGCCTGGGTGACAGAGCAAGATTCCATCGCAAAAAAAGAAAAAAAAAAAGAATTTTGAAATGGAAATGTATCTATTTTTCCTTTCTTTAGAAAACAAACAGAAAATGAAGCCAACATATCTCATCACAGATTGCTCTTTAAATATGCGACCTTATACCAAAAGCAGACAAGTTCACAAAGAGATTATTTTTATAATTTAATCACAGAAAAGACTAGACTATCAGGTAGTTGGTGGCTACAGAAGTGACTGCTCCCCACTGAAGCAAGGAATGGATAGAATAAGTCCTTGAAATAAATGCTCAGGTCTTCCCTTAGTAATTCTGGACAGTGGGGAAATTAGCTCATTCAAACAAAGTTTATTAAATAAATAAAATCCCAGCACTTGTCTCTTTAGACAAAAACCACATGGAAACAATACAAAAGATTGCTAATGCTTTGGCAAATGAATCACTCTTCCAAATGCCATTTACAAAAGCCCACCAGACCTCCAGCTGTGCTGATGCCATGGGAACCCCTAGGGCAATTATAAGTGGATTTAACTCAAGACCAGAAACACAGGAGTAATTTTTAAAGACCCAAAAACTTCCAAATAAATAAATCTGGAAAGGAATTACTGTTTACACCACAGAGCCACAGGTTCAAATAGCCAAACTTAAAGAAGAAAAAACACACATGTATATATCTACTTCATCATGTAATCTCTGAACAATAGGAACTTTACTGAGTTGTCACTAAGGAAAGAGCAAAATCTAAGATAGGTAGTTTCTGGAAAATGAAAGTCCAGAGAAACTTGGCCATAAAATGAAAATTATAACGGACTTACAGAGCTCGTCTTCTTTGGGTTAAGAAACAAAGGTCTTCTTGTGCAAAGGAAGAATTCGAAAGAGGAATTCTTAAGTAGATGGCTGATGCATCCACGTCTAAACATCCAAAATCTACCAAGCACCTATTACATAACTAAGCCCTGTGTCAGAGGCTGTGGAACAAGAACCACTAAAACTTATCTCTGACCTCAAGAAGTTTATAGTTCAGGGAAGTGACTGACAATCATAATACAGAGGCATAAGGGCTATCCAAATAGGGTCACAGGTTACGCTATGAATACAGGTATCACATCAGAAAATTACCGTACTTAAAATCTCAGCAAAGAGATCACACCCTCACACAATTAATGTTATCAACATCCATCCAGTCTCTCAAGCTCACCCTCTTCAACAATCTTTGCTTTACTGAGTTCCGGGTGGACTATTTAAATATCATACAAATTGATTCTGACATCACAATCACTGCCTGCTTCCTAAAACTTGCCCTCCACCGTCTATTATAAATGCTTTCCAATCAGTGCTCCCATTCTTCATTCTATTCACCACTTAGTTACTAGAATGTTTTTCTCAACTATGAATCTGACTTCACTCCCTTTCTTGAAAACCTCCTGTAGTTCCTGTTGTGTACGGGATAAAGGTCAGACAACTTAGTATAGCCCAGCTCAGTCCAGCTAGCAAAGCAAATACTAGCTTTATTCCCTGCAAGCAACGTAAGACAAAGACAACCACACTAAACTCAGTATTAGCAGACCACCATCCTCCCTGAGGCCTCCACTGCTTTGCACACACTCTTCTCTTTCTCAGAAGGTCCTTTCCCCTCCTCCTGTTGGTGCAGCCAATTCTTTCTCTTCCTTCTAATGCACCATCTTCTGTGTAGTCTTCTTTGACACTAGGTAGGGTTACATCTTTGCTCTGTGTTTCTATAACACTCTTCATATGCCATGGAACTGCATTCATTATATTGGTATAATTTTATTTGTCTTTTTTCTTCCTAGACTGTGAGCCCCTGGAGTTCAGGGACCATTTCTTAATCATATTCCAGAACCTATCACAATGAATGACACGAAGAATATATTTGATAAAAATCTGATGAATGAACCACTCTAAAATGCAACTCTAATAAAGAAAATTACTGCCTATTCAGTTGGAACTGTACCATGTTACAAACGTAAAATTATGTATAGTCTGATAAAGAAATACTATAATAGCCTTGGAAACAGCTCACATACAATTTTTTTTATAAATGGATTCATTACCATATAACTGGACCAGCTTACTGAAGAGTAGCCCTACAGCAGTCACTTCGCAGTTTGCAATTCATTTGAGGTTCAAAGCTAGCTCAAGGGAAAACAACGTTAGTATTAACAAACTTATTTTTAAGCTTAAGGTCAGAATTTAAGGGAAAATAAATAAATATAGTATGTTCTAAGAATCCAAAGGAATTTTTAAAAATTGCCCCCTGCAGCTGTAATTTCTGCATGGATGAGAAAACCTTAATTGCTTGCTGGCTTCCAAGAAAGCCATTAACCTGCATTTAAAAATTCAGCTTTCATCAAGAACAACCTCACATATCCAGCTCTCATGGAAAAAGGAATAGAAGCCTCTGACCTAGTTTTCAATTATTACCAAACTACTGATAATTGATCTCCTGGTCTCCAGGTTTGTTTGTTTTACTAAAATAAATTCCCTCTGGAGCTGCAGGTGCTTACCATGGGGCTGCGCAGGTGGAAAGCAGCCCAGTCTTACTATGAGGATGTCCGTTTGCCATCTGGGAACAAGGAGGAAGAAGCAGAGACCTGGGCAAGACCTCAGAGTAAGTGTCCTTTTTGGCGGCTCCCAGGGGTCCCCATCATGTGTTATAGGAAGGCAGAATTATTTGAGATAAGGATAGGAGCTGAAATAAGCAGTGCTAATACTGGTTAAAAGTTGGTGCTTCAGCTGCAGTCACAACAGATAATGTCTCTTCAGTTATATTTCCAAGCTATTTCTCATTTGGCAATGTACACTTACACCAAAACTGTGAAACTCTCGGAAGTGGCAGACCTTGGCAACAAGTGAATGGAAACTGTGAATTACAGTACATGCCACTGAGTAAGGGGTGCACATCTAGAAACCAGAAATCAGGTTCTGTCTTGGCTCAGCGTCTAACTAGATGTGTGGACTTAGACAAGTCATTTAACCATTGGGGATTCAGTCTCTTCATCTGTAAAGAGTTCATTTAGATGATCTCTTAAGTCCCTAAGATCCCCATTGTTAGGTCCAGGGTCAGGTTCCAGCCCATGCTGAGGCCGGAAGGGAGTGGGTAGATGAATGGCAGACAGCTGAAAGAACACTCAGGGGGCTACGGGTAGGTGAAATACAATTTTATTCAGCAGCTCTCTTACACTGTGTGTCTCGGCTGCTTGTTCCAGCCACTCCCAAGCACAGATCTCTGCTGGCTCTCTCTCCCTTTGGGGTCAACAGCTTAACTCTTTCCCTCTGAGCGCAAGCAAGCTGAGCTGTGTCCTGGCTCCCCGCTGCAAGACAGACAGATCTGGTGCTCTCTCTCTTTCTTTGGGTGCAAGCACGCCTGCACAGTGTCACCAGGGCAATTATACCTTTTAAAGACAACAGTGGCAAAGAGCCAAGTGATGGCCCTCCCATGTTATGGCTACATAGCTGTTTATATTACACATGGAGTTGCGCGCCTGCGCTACAGACTTGCTGAGTCACCCGGGATGTTTACCTCAGCCCATCCTGCCTGGCTGCAGTGCAGCCATGTTCCTTACACCTACCAATTTAAAAGTACTGTAATTCCATTTTAAGGGTTCTAAACCATGAACCATGTTCATGGTTTAGGATTTTAGATATTTCTCATTTAAACTTAGGAGCGAACTCTGCATTAGGACATTTCTCCTTTCATTGTCCATAAGATAACTCACCAAATCCTTGCGCAAAGAGAAACAAATATAAACTACATAAGAAATGACAGGTGAGCCTTACCAAGGACCCTGACCCATGCATAACATCTTAGTATAGCATATATATATATAGTATATGATAGAAACATGCCGTGGGCTTTCATACCCTCTACAATAGTTCATTATAAGTTTCATCCCCCAAAGAAGGCAACTTACATACTTAAGTTTTTCTAAATAGAATCCAGGTGCTTTCACCAGTGATGCTCTCCAAGGGATCCCATCATAGTAATCAGTCTAGCCAGTGCCAACTTCAGTTCTACTAAATTTAATGCCCTCTTATTTTGACTCAGGAATAAATTATCTCAATGGCTACTTACATGGTCCAGCATAGCAGAAAAAAAAGCCACACTGAGCAAGCAGTGGTCCTTTCCATGCTACACAAGCAAGAAATGCCTATAAAGACAGACTTGAGTGCAGTCTAAAGAATCTTTTGCTTTGCCTTAACACTCTACTTCTGGATATCCTTGCTCAAAAAGAAGTCTACTCAAGGTGTGTATCTTTCCTCTTTATAAGCCCTCTGGCCTCAGGAAGACTGGTTTCATTCATGTGGTCATGTTTTTGCACAGCTTAAGACTAAACTGTATGATCCTTCCTTCTGGGCTCCTACAAGGGCATGCCAAAGTCCCCTCAAATAACCAAAACGGTGCACATCCCCTTTGCGTCCCACAGCAGTCTGCTAGTTTATGTAATACCATAATGACAGCTATCTGGAGTGGAACAGTGACACTGCTTTTTCCCAGACTACTTCACCATGTGAGGTAAACGGTAGAGGCAGCAATAGGTCTGCTCAGTCTATGGCTAATACAAGACCTTGCTTATGATAGACTTCAAGAGCTTCTTATTAGCCAGCTGTTAATTCATACAAACTGCACAGAAATTCATTCTGGAGCAATATTATTTGTTTCACATTATACTTAACCTTGAAAAGGTTAGTTTTTCAATGGGGGATGATTATCCTGGATAGATGCATACCCCCTACAAACATGAAACTGGCAAGTTCACTAAAGATTTCTCAAGAGCCACCAAGCTAGCAAAAGTCGCAACCAAATAATATTATATACTCTGCCCTTCAGAGCAACCTTCTTCATGCTGAAGTCTTCAGTTCACAGAATGACTGACTTATTTTCAAAAGAGGAAGGCTGTATTGCATATTGTAACTCTCTCCAAATCTATACTTATGAGCTAATTCTTCAAAAGGTAAGATCAATTACCACACAGAAGGAGAAGCCATCCATTTTCTTGAAGCTGTCAAAATTTGAGCTGTCTCCCATAGGATTTCCACTGACAGTTAATGAAAAAAATCAGTATCTGTCAATTTTGGAAGAAATTTAAAAGTGGTAAGATATTCTTATAAATCGATGTTAAAATTTTGGTATAATTATTGTATATTTGGATTACTTTATTTGCTTTCCTCCAAATCATTTCTTTACTAAATTTCCCTAAGTTAGCTTAATAATGAGGTTTTCTTAAGGAGAAATCTGTTGGTTATACACATAAATTGCTAACAAAAAAGGGATCAGAGCTAAATGGATCCAATTTTTCCTCCTTCATATGCTACAATACAAGGCTACTGCAGAATTTACACCGTGAATAATGTGTATTTTGAAAACCCAAGCTTAGAATAGTAGTATTTTGTTTCACTATCAAAAGACAAAGCAAAAAAATAAAAAATAGGCTACACTAATGTACTTTTAAAAATATACTTGGAAAAGAAACGAAACTATTTCATTTAATGCTGTCTTATAGAACAGAAATGCCAATATATTTACACAGAAATAATTCAGCATCTTGAAGTATAAGTAAAAACACTAATGAAGACCAAATTTTTAGAGTTATTTCATACAAATAGAATAAATTTAGGCGGGGCACAGTGGCTCACGCCTGTAATCCCAGCACTTTGGGAGGCTGTGGCAGGCGGATCATGAGGCCAGGAGTTCGAGACCAGCCTGGCCAACATGGTGAAACCCCAACTCTACTAAAAATACAAAAAAGTTAGCCAGGTGTGGTGGTATGAGCCTGTAATCTCAGATACTCAGGAGGCTGAGGCAGGAGAATCGCTTGAACCCAGGAGGCGGAGCTTGCAGTGAGCCGAGATCACGCCACTGCCCTCCAGCCTGGGCAACAGAGTAAGACTCTGTCTCAAAAAATAAATAAATAAATAAATAAATAAATAAATAAATAAATAAATAAAATTTAATAAAAAGAGACTACCCATTGTTTCCACTAGAATTGCTGCCAAGGGAAATATACCTTTTAAGGATCAAGGCTTAGAATTGCTTTTCGCTTATTAGAATAAAATCTATCAGCAATCTGAAGAAATACATAAACAATCAGCAAATTCTAGTTAGATGGCTACAAACTAGGTAAATTACTAAAATGTGCCACATGAAGATAAAGTTAGTCTTGGTAAGAACAAAGGTTTCAAATAATTTTTGCTCTTAGATGTTTGCTGACAGATAAAATAGAGAACTTCATTTTCACCAAGTAACGCAAAGTATAAAAAGGCATCGGTATAGTGCTGTGCTGCTTTTGTTAAAATGGTACAAGGAGGAAAAGAGAGTATCTTCTAAAGTCCTTGAATGGGAAAGCCGTAGTTTATCACGTCGTATTATCACTTTCTATTTACACAGCATTTGTTTCTCCCACAGACAGGGAGGTTCCTGTGGACAGAAACATCTGCTTCCTGCTTATCCTGTATCTCAGCATCTGAATGGTCATGACTGGAACACAGGCAGACTTCAGAAATAAATACATAAATATCTCATACTCCTCGAATCTTTTAGAAAAAGAGTGTGGGTAACAATAAACATATCTGCTGAGAAATGACCACCTCACTCTACTCTTCTGCAGACTTCCCATTCTGTGCCGAGTCACCCTCAGTAGGCCTAAGTGTGACGATCCTCTCAGCACTCCCTGTAAACCTATTTAGGAATCCGCGAAAGAAAGAGAAGACCACCAGGCAGACTGGTGATGATATTTCTTGGGGAGGCTGTGCAGTTTTTCATAGTGAAGCCTACAACTTAGATTTTCAGCACTAATAGAACCCCATTATCAGGAGGAGAGAAAAGCACTAATTTCAGATGGGCTCTGACAGGGGACAGTTTTAAGAATTTATAGAGAGACATTTCCGTGTCCAGCCAGGATGTAATCATGGAAATTGGATTTACCTTCCCATCCATGTGTAACACCAACATCCAGTGGTTTTTCATGATACTGAACAAAGGCAGCAATCACTGAGAGACTGGGAAATAAACAAAAGGACTGCCCCAATTTATTAAGAAAGCTTCCAGACCACAATGAAGGTAGGTGGTGTGGAGTCCTGACAAGGTAAGTTAGCACCAACAAGGAAGAGGCCAGCCCCCGATGGGGGAGAACAATTGTTCTGAGAGACAGCTAATCACAAACAACCTGCTTGTACAACATCCTGTTCCCAAATACCTTGCTCTGCATATACCCCAGCAGCACAATCCTCTCTGCACATAACCCCTCCAGCATGGCCCTAGAAAACTTCCTTTCAGCCCCTGCCTCTTGGCAGACAGCCTCTTCTCTGCTGTGCCGGCCATTGCTTCCCGCTAATAAACTTGTTCTCGTTTTTGTTGTTGTTGTTTCGAGATGAAGTTTCACTCTGTCGCCAGGCTGGAGTGCTGTGGTGTGATCTCGGCTCACTGCAACCTCTGCCTACCAGGTTCAAGCAAATCTTGTGCCTCCGTTTCCCGAGGAGCTTGGGATTACAGGCGCCCGCCACCACGCCCGGCTCATTTTTGTATTTTTAGTAGAGACGGGGTTTCACCATGTTGGCCAGGCTGGTCTCGATCTCTTGACCTCGTGATCTGCCCACCTCGGCCTCCCAAAGTACTAGGATTACAGGCGTGAGCCTCCGCACCCGGCCTAAACTTGGTTTTAACTCGCACCTGTTTCAGTAAATTATTTACTTCCCGTGAAGCCAGCCTTAGCCAGTCACGCTCACAACAAGTAGAAGCCAGGCGGAGCCTGAAGGAGGCCCTGAGTTAAGGTGACAAAGTTGAGAGTATAGGGAGACCAAAAAAGGCTAGAGTTTACAGGACAGAATACCAGAGAGGAAAGAAGTGTACAGGGAGAGAAATCAACAAATCTGCAGAAGGTCAGCCTTAAATATTCCACGGAGTACTAATCAGCCCATGCACATGAACATACTGCCTGAAGCTGGGACAGGACCAGCTGAAAGAGTTAGAGGTAACAGTAGCAGGTGCTCAAATAAGACCACGAATACTGCCTGCTCCCATCAACCAGAGTAGAAAACCTCAAGGTTCAAGGGGTATTGAATAGAAGACCCAAAGAGCCTTGCCTCAGTGACTTGCCCTACACTAAATACTGCTCTGGTCCCACCTAAGAAAGATTAAAAGCAAGACCCCTTCCCCTACACACACTAAATAAAACTGTTTCCAAATAACTTCACTGTGTTACAGGGGGAAAAAAAGCTCAAGAATAATTTGAGGGATACAAAAATAGCTAGTACCCAAAAAGATAAAATAACAACATCTGGCATTCAGTCAAAAGTCGCAGCTTCAAGAGGACAAATACACGTGCAGGGAAAAAGCAGCATGGTTTCACTGGACGGCAGTGCATTTTCACTGGACAGTTGTCCCCAGTGTCATAGATGAGGTCACTGATGACAGAAAAGAAAAACATTTCTTGAAGAAATCAGACATATTACTTTTATACAACTAGTGCTCATCAAATAACAACTACCATACAGAGAGAGAATGAGATGACTAGCACTGGAAAGAGATAATAGATGAGCCACTGAGTACTTTCAATAAGAATTAATTGTAATCATGGCTGGGCGTAGTGGCTCACACCTGTAATCCCAGCACTTCCGGAGGCCAAGGCGGGCAGATCACCTGAGGTCAGGAGTTCGAGATCAGCCTGGCCAACATGGTGAAACCCCATCTCTACTAAAAATACAAAAATTAGCTGGGCGTGGTGGCACATGCCTGTAATCCCAAGCTACTTGGGAGGCTGAGGTACAAGAATTGCTTGAACCTGGGAGGCAGAGGTTGCAGTGAGCCGAGATCATACCACTGCGCTCCAGCCTGGGCGACAAGGGCGAAACTCTGTCTAAAAAAGAAAAAAAGAAAAAAAGAATTAACTGTAATCCTATACCTCAAGCACCCTGAGATGGACACACACACACACACACACACACACACACACACACACACACACACATTCTGCTAAATACTGTACCATGCTATAAATCCTAACCAGTAGAGTACAGCTAACACTTCACTTCTCACTTTGTAAATCACATTGAGGAGGTTTCTTTCACAGCTTATCTTATGAAATGGGGCTGAAACAAGTCAACAGATTAAATTTATCAAAATATAAAACACACATAATGGATTTGGAACAGAACTGCAGCTGTATCTTCACTGGCTCTCCTGCAGAGGAAGATACCATATAACTCAATGACTCCTTCTTTTAACTTGTAAGTCAGTGAAAAGAGGCACTAGTTTCCTGTTAACCACTAAACCTTGTCCATTATCTTAAACATAGAATACATCAAAACACCTGATAGGTTTTCAGTGAGAAGCCCTCAGCTATGCTATCTTACTGTCCTGAATCACAGGAAAAGAAATATAGAATATTAATGAGAAATAGAACAGCTTTCATACATAGCACATATAACTAGTTAGCCAGGCCCATCAACATGACTTGGCCATCATTTACAGAAAAATAGTATTGCTTTAATTAATTACCACATTTTCAAAGGTTAAGGGCATGAAACCAATCAGTCAGCTTAAACCTTGTTCCTTTCAACAAACGGGAAAATTTTCACAGGCAATACTTTAAAAATAAAACAAAAAAATTAGACTGCTAACTGACTCCAAAACCAAAATTCAGTCAAAAGGCATTAACTCCCCTGAATTTTAACAAGAAATGAAATGGTTTTCCTTAAAAACTCTTACTCCAGTGGATAAATTATAAATATTAGAATGAACTGCAAAAACCCACTAGAGCATCTGCTTTTCTATAAACACATAGAATGTCTACTGGAAAACAAGCCCCACTGAAAGCTGTACTGAATTACAAATAATCCACTCTACACTTGCTTGTCAGATCTTAGAACAAAACACACAAATATATCCACTTCGCAGTATCTGTATAAATGGACAAGTAGAAATCCGAATCATGTTATCTGAAAATGTTTTGCAATCATTTTTAGAATTTAATAAATAAAAGATAGGACTTTCCACTTTCATTTCCTTGTAGTGTATTTACATTGCACAGCACCTTCCGTTAGAAGGAACCAACACAGATGTGGGCTTTCTAGTTGGTTTCTCTGCTGCCCCCTTCTGCTTCAACAAAACACAGTAGGCAGGCAACCCAGATGCCAAAAATACCTCTCGAAGCCAGGTTTCGCAGAATAAACAAATCCAGGATGACTGATTATCTCATTTTTTAAAAGCATTTTCATATTACAATTGAAATTATTTCACGTGCTTTCTGAAATCTGATCCAGGTGTCTGGTTATACAAACTCAGTAATGACAAGGTAAGGTTTCCCTCCCACTCCTGACCCCAGTGCTCGCTCTTGCGCACTCTCTCTCTCTCCCTTCAACTTAGAAACCCACTATGTCATGCAGGCAGCCAGAAACTTCAAGAACCTTTTTTATTTCAAGTTCCAGGGTACATGTGCAGGATGTGCAGGTTTGTTACGTAGGTAAACGTGTGCCATGGTGGTTTGCTGTGCCTATCAACCCAAGAATCTTTTATAGTAAAAACATAACTACTTTAAAAACTTGGTTCTTTCATTTCCGAAAAACAGTAGAATAACATTATTTCTTTGCATTGGTCAAATTACATATTCTTTCTGTGACAGAATTTCTTTCTGCTAGGAACTTAAGAGATAATAGTTACAATATCACGATCATCACACATAGTACAAACAGTATAGGTCCTAGGAGGCAAAGACCAATAACTGTGTAATGCTGATAATGAACTTTTAAAGGTAAGGGACTACACAAACAATAGTGATTCCGAAAATGCTCAGAATATATACTGAGCAAAATTCTCTGCAACGAGGTATATAAACCTGAAGTGCTAAAAAATTTCACAAATAATTATTTTAAATACACACTAAAGGATAAATTTAAGGTAAAAACAGTAGCTGACTTTTAGTTTATTTTTCCAGAACTCAAATGTCAGGCCAAAAAAGTCAAAGCAGAAAACATCATAAATGATACCTTTAAGGTTATTCAAAGAGTGGGAAATATTTTTAAAGCAGGTGAGATTTTTCCAAGCAGAAAGTGCACCAAATACTGAAATCACGGAAGACAGAACTCAACTCCATTCCTCACCTCAAATGCACCGAAGACCCTTAGAGACACCCTAGAAGCCTCCATTAAATCCCATCAGGAAGTTGCATGTGCAGGTATTATGTGCAATATGGTGCACCTGCACCCCAATGATCCAAATGCCTCAAGCTAGAACCATCACTGACGCTTACTCAAGAATGTCAGCGATGGGAAACATTAAACGCACAAACTGTGGCGTGTTCGTTTCTGCTGGTTTCATACCCTTTCCAACAAATCCTCCATCCTCTGCCAGGGAAATCTTTGTAAATCAACATCTGATGAGACACCTCCAGGTGATGAAAAATGCCAGCTAGTCTGAAATACCCATTCTCCCTTCTTCCTTGAGACTCCCAATTTTTTTTTAAAATGTGTGCTAAAGAGAAGTGTTGTATGAAACTTCACCAGAACTTAAACTTAAAAGGTATGAGGCACGTGCTTTTTTTTTTTTTTTGGCTCTTCTGCCTTTCTTTCTCAATGCAGGGGTAATGGCTGGAGCTCCAGCAGCCACCTTGAACCGTGCAGGACCTTAAGGATGAAAGTCAGGTGCAGCACAACCAAAAGAAAGATTGACATCTGAGGACCTTCTAAAGATGCTTCTCTAGACTTGGAATACTTCCCTCTAGACGTCATTTATTTTTATTTTTAATTTTATTATTTTTTTAGAGACAAGGTCTCACTCTGTTGCCCAGGCTAGAGAGCAGTAGCACAATCATAGCTCACTGCAGCCTCAAAATCCAGGGCTAAAGCCATCCTCTCGCCTCAGCTTTCCAAGTAGCTAAGACTACAAACGCATGCCAACATGCTTGGCTAAATTTTTTTTTTATTTTTGGAAGTTGGTCTCAAACTCCTGGCCTCAAGCTATCCTTCCACCTTGGCCTCCTAAAGTGCTGGGATTACAGGCATGAGCCATCACACCCAGCCAAGACTTCTCCTATTTGAGAGTATAAACTGTTGTATCTTTCTGCCACTGTAGTTGGGTCTCTGTCTTGCAGCTAAGTCCAAGCTGTAACTAAAACACTCACTCTTTTTGTTCTTTCTTTTTTTTTTTTTTTTTGAGATGGAATCTCACTTTACTGACCAGGCTGGAGTGTAGGGGCATGATCTCTGCTCACTGCAACCTCCACCTCCAGGGTTCAAGTGATTCTCCTGCCTCAGCCTCCTGAGTAGCTGAGACTACAGGCATATGCCACCATGCCTGGCTAATTTTTATATTGTTAGTAGAGACGGGATTTCACCATGTTGGCCAGGCTGATCTCGAACTCCTGACCTCAGGTGGTCCATCCACCTCTGCCTCCCAAAGTGCTGCCATTACAGGCATAAGCCACCACACCTGGCCTAAAACACTCACTCTTGAACAACTCTCTATCACCTACCAGAAGTTCTAAGCCCTGCTGCCTCGCCAGTTTCATCTCCTGCCATGTACGACATACACTATTTTTCTTAAGAATTCTATTCTCTATGTCTCTATGTAGGAGAGGAAAATGTTTCTTTTCTTACCCATCAGTTCGTGGCTGAGATCCCTATAACAAAAGACAGATTGACAAGAGAAAAGCATATAAATTTATTTTAATGTAGGTTTTAAGTGACCCAGGAGCCTTCAGAAATGAAGACCCAAAGAAGCAGGGAAATTGGTCTATTTTTATGCTTAGGTCTGACGAAGACCAGAGAGTTATGGGGAAGTGTGATTGGACAATGGGAATATGATCTAATGGTAATAAATTGGGGAAAACTTAGCAACGCCTGTTTGTTCACATTCTTCTTGGTATCTCTCTGCCTTTGAGGATAAGGATGGTCTCTTCTCCAGGTATAGAGAGTATGCCTCTGGAATGAAGGATTTATAACTTGCTTCAGGAGATAAGGATGAGTAGAAGATAAGAGCGACCTTCTTGCTTCTGCTGTTTGTTCTAATGCCATATTTTGGGGTAGCATGTCCGGAACCCCATCACTTATCATGCTCCAAATTTTCATAGATGAGGGGTTTCACTGCCTGAAACCAGACCTTAATCCACCCTCTACTGACCTACTAAATTCCTAGTCCCCCTTCCTAAACTCAAGGGTCGCTTCCCGTATAGTTTTTGCTGGGCCTCTCTTCTCCGGCCCTACTGAGGCTCTCCTCTTCAGTCTTTCTCCTCCTTCCACAGCATCCCATTCACAGTTTCTACTTGTTGGATTCCTAAACATCTGTATATGTCTTCTACAAATCAATGGGCTCTTGAGTTCAGGGAGTATGTTGTGTCCAGTTCTGTATCTTCAGCACTTGGCATAATGCGTGGCTCATAATGACATTGGCTAGATGGCCAATATTTTGATTTATAAATTATGGGTCACAGGCCAGCCAAACTTGAATGTGATTTATTCTGTGAAATCATCTCCAACCCAACCATCCCTCCTGTGTGTTTCCAGACACTCTGAATGTATTTGGGGTTAGTTATGTACACATCTGTCTTCCCTGCTAGGCTGTGAGATCCAGAAGGGCAGGGAGCACGTATCACACAAGCTGGTACCCCCACCTCTAAGCACTGTGCCTGGCTTACACCACCTGCTCAATCAGTATTTTCTCAGTGTTGACAAAAATGACTACATGAAGGATGGCTTTCTTTAATCTCATGTTCATTCCACGTTGCTACAGTGGGGATACAAAAACGAATAAAACACATTTCTTGCTTTGAGAAGGATACAGTCTAAGAATATTAGAAAACATGAATACAGCTTTTAAGACAGAACATCATGTTGTGTCTGCAATCTCTAGCCCCTAATATGTACTAAACTTTAAATATTTTGTGATATAAAGACAAAACAAAAGTAATATTTTACTAGGACATTATCCTAATACATAATTTCTCTTGCTCTATGAGTATTTTTTTTAAGCCACCCAGTAAATGTGTAGCAACAAAGAACCATTTGGAAGTTATTCCCTGTCTTGCAGACTGAGTCAGATCATGGCTAACTGATGGTCGGTCCTCTCTCATGTTTCTTGTTTTGTTTTGTGTTTAGGGTTATTTCTTTTTCTTTGCTTTTCACCATTACTATGAATTTTGAAATTCCTTCCATTTTGCAAAAAAAAAAAAAAAAAAAAAGCTTTCCTAATTATTGTTCATTATAACTGTAATCTTTTAAAAATGAAAGAGTCCAAAATTCATCTAAATGTCTGTTAAAATGAACAGAAGTTGACTTAAGATACAGTGTAGTTTTTAGTCTACATATTTAATTTTCAGTGTATTCCCAGAGAAATAGCAGTGTTGATTATCTCTCTTTCATGTCCTAAAATTAATAGCAGCTCATACTGAACCCGTCTAATGGAAGGATAAAGACTTACCCTCCAGGCCAGTAACTACAAAATGACTGTTGCAGGAAGTAGGAAGAACATATGCTGGAAACTGGTTCTAAAATGAGTAATCAGTGATGTCATTATAGGGAAAAGAGTGCAGCGTTAATGACAGAAACCGGGCATATCATCTGTGACAAGAGCATCACAATATAGCAAAGCGATTACTACAGAGTTCTAATCAAATAAAATATCACAAGATAATTAAACTTTCCATGTTCAGAATGAAACTTCAGTTAATACAACACCTACATCCTCTGGAGTGGTATTCAAAAATAGTTCAATTTTAAAGGAAAAACTCTCATTCTCCAAAATTTCAAATATAAATATCCCTTGCAGAATGAACAGGAAGAAAAGACTAATTAAAAAAAAAAAGAATCTCCAATATTCTTTGGAGATAAGTAGACACACTTATAAAGAATGCAGGGCCAGGAAAGGTAGCTCATGCCTGTAATCCCAGCACTTTGGGAGGCAGAGGCAGGAGAATCTCTTGAGGCCAGGAGTTTGAGACTAGCCTGAGCAACATGGCAAGATCCCATCTCTACAAAAAAATTTAAAAAATTAGCCAGCAATGGTGATGCACACTTGTAGTCCCAGCTACTCAGGAGGCGGGGGCAGGAGGATCACCTGAGCCCAGGTGTTTGAGGCTGCAGTGTGCCAAGAGCCAAGGTCGCACCACTGCACTCCAGCCTAAGCAACAAAGAGAGTGCTGTTTCTCAAACACAGAGTCACACACCCTTATGAAGGTGTATTCGTATATGACAGAACTAAGAATTCTGAAAACTACTACTTGCTACCATATGGCAAATTACCAAGGCTCCGAACATCTGTCATGTATTTCAAAAATGATTCACTAAATATTAATCCCATTACATGCTAATGAAATATCCCTAGTTGCCAAGTAATTTTCAAAAATGCACCAACTAATTAAAGACCAAATCACATATTTGACTAAAGGACACGTTTCATTTAACTCTTAGCTGGACACTTTCATTGAACTCTGGATTGCCCAGTAACCAAATGTAAGATGACATTGTGTATGGTGACCAGGCCGAACTCAGCTGATGTCCTAACCAAGGACACCAAACAAACATGCCCCTGCTCTCCGGGACTAATTTCACATCTGCACTGAAAAACACAATGAAGGGCGTAGCCATGATTAACTTCAGGCCAATCAAATGGCTCCCAAAAGAGGCCAATTTTAAATCTATGGATCACAGAACTTCTTCATAGGAAGTTTCTGTCAAGGGAAAACATACTTTGAGTTTTTTGATTTTACTTTGATTTCCGTGAAACACTCTCTATAATACCTTATAGAGCTAAAGAGAAAAATTAAGAGGAGATAACAGACTGTCCTTTACAATGTACTATCCTCTTTTACCCTGTTCTCTCACTGAAAATTGAATAACAATTACAAAGTTCAAAATCACAGATATCTGACATTTGGAAGTGCCAGAACACCTTTCAAAAAATGAGCTGAATATGTTCAAAGCAATCCAAAATTAAAGAGAACTTCAAGGTGCAAGCAGGTGATAATCTAAACGGAAGAGCCATCTGATGCAACAGCCTACATCATTCTGCATTGGCCCTGCATGGTGGCTCACGCCTGTCATCCCAGCACTTTGGGAGGCCGAGGTGGGCAGATCATGAGGCCAAGAGATCGAGACCATCCTGACCAACAATGGTGAAACCCCATCTCTACTAAAAGTACAAAAATTAGCTGGGCATGGTGGTGGGCACCTGTAGTCCCAGCTACTCGGGCAGCTGAGGCAGGAGAATAGCTTGAACCCGGGAGGCAGAGGTTGCAGTGAGCCAAGATCACGCCACTACAATCTCCAGCCTGGGAGACAGAGTGAGACTCCATCTCAAAACACACACACACACACACACACACACACACACACACACACACACACACAAATCATTCTGCACTGACTTTCCTAATGGTGGCAGTCCTTGGGTTCCATCTTTTTATTTTTGTCCCTAATAAAATTGAAGCTATTAAAATTGTATTACATGCTTGTATTGTTTTACATAAGGCAGTATGCTAAGTCCAAAATGCCTAATTAAAACATTACAAAGGGATGCATACTGTCCATTTTTCTTGTGTTTTTTTTCCCCTGAGAAATGCACAATTTTACATAGGAACCGTTAACGAAATGGCAACCCTAGCACCCAAAGATGGGACTAGTCCTGCATCTGCTGCCATCAGCCTTTCTTCCTATCAACGCCTCTTACAAGTCATGTCTGTCATCCTTGTCACTATATCTATATCTACGAATATACCACATTTTCTTTATTTTAAAATCTCTCCATTTAAGATCCTTTCCACAAAAGATGTTGTCTTCGTATTTACCTCACTGCCAATGCTTAAACCATATTTTGTGTATAACAAAGTCAATAAGTGTTGAATTAATGATGAATTATCCTATCACTATTATTGCAAAAGCAACTGTTTTAATAAGTGATAAACACTCTCTTTAAAAAGTACCTTTAGCCTGTGTTCTAGTCTCAGTATTGTCACTAATTGGCTGTGGATTTAAGGCAAGTCACTTAACCTCTCTAGTTTGTTTCCCAGTCTGTAAAATGTGGAGTTGGCCAAAGTGACTATTTAAAAAGTTCCAAATGAATGAATGAATGAATAAAAAAAGAAAGAAAGAAAGAAAGAAAAGTTACTTCCAGCAATAAAGACTACAGCTGTACGAGTTTTTTTTAAGGTTTTATCAACCAAATCACTAAGTCTTTGAAGGTAATTAAATTGCATAAAATCCAAAGATGCTGTCCACAAAGAAGGCGAGGTTTGAATAGAGCCAACTTCCTAACATGTACCCATCACCTATTAGGTGCAAAACACTGAGCTAGTCAATGTAAGTGCAAAAAAATGCCTAAGACTGTCCCTCAGTTTTCCAACCTAATGAGATAGATGAATGAGTAAAAGAGTGACTACAATAAAAGGCAGATGACATAAGGCCGGAGAGGGACACAAGCAGCATAATTTAAGACAGAAAATAACCAGGTGTGATGGCTTCAGCTAGAATATATCTTGGTTGAGAATGTATCTGATGATCATACACAGAGGCCTGGACAGGCCTCACCCCAGGCCACCCATGACACTGTAATAGAGTGATCTTTTCTACTTAAAACAAAATCTGGGCGGATCATGAGGTCAGGAGATTGAGACCACGGTGAAACCCCATCTCTACTAAAAATACAAAAAAAAATTAGCCGGGCGTGGTGGCGGGCGCCTGTAGTCCCAGCTACTGGGAAGGCTGAGGCAGGAGAATGGTGTGAACCCGAGAGGCGGAGCTTGCAGTGAGCCGAGATCGCGCCACTGCACTCCAGCCTGGGCGACAGAGCGAGACTCCGTCTCAAAAAAAAAAAAAAAAACACACACACACACACACATCTGGAATTTCCCTTATGGAGTTATGATGTCTCAATGATTACGGAACTTTACTACATTGGTAAAGATGTTGATGGCAGCATATTTAACACTGTGAATAGTCTTCCTTAGTACTTCATATATTGAAGTTGAATCTGCATCCCATACCCTTCACAAACCCCTGCATAATGAATACTATTTAAGTCATCAGAATATAACTTTCATCATGTTAATTTTATCTGAAGAATATGCACTGGCTCTTTATTGCCTGTTATGCCACATTCAAATTCCTCAGACAAAATCCCACTGTACCTATGTGGTAAATGGGGTAACCATACTATGTATGACAAGTTTCTATGACAAAGAAACTTGAGATTTCTAGAAACCAGGTCTTTCAGATACCTCTTCACTTTGATATAGATAAACTAAAGAGGAATAAACAAATAAAATTTAAAATTTTTAGCTATTTAATATTTTAAAAGTAATCTACTGAGTATAGAACAGTTTTTAAAGTTCAGCTGAGGACCACGATTTATGAGCTCGAAGGAAAGACATACTTCGATGGAGTGGTAACATATAATAAAAGACCCTTTGGTAAAGCTAAGAGGAATAAAAGAAAGAATGGCAATGGCAAAAACAAGAGGGATGTGATGACGATCAGAAGTGGTGAGAGGGATCCTGAATAACAGACAAATATGGGCAATATGGCTATGAACCTTAGATAACGACAGAGAGGAAAACAGCCAATCAAGCAATCAGTCCATCAATGAAACATCACCACCAAGAAAACATAATTTGTAATTCGAGTAGTAGTAAAAAGGAGTGGCAACTACCTATCCACTGTATCCATTTTATACACAACAAACTTTGAGGAATCTATAAGATGTATTGGAAGGAAGAGACTAGAGGGTTAGAAACCATCGGAACAGCATTTCAGTATCCCCAGAAGCTATCAGCCAGCCATCTGGAAAGTGCTTCAAGCAGAATAATTCCAGAGCACTAAGAAGCATTACTTACACACAGCGCAGTGCCGTGCCAAGCTAAATCATGGAGCAACACAGCACTGCAGCTTGGACAGGATCCCCATCTGGGCATGAGCACTGCAAAGGAGCTTTAGATCAGTGGTTCTCACTGGGGGTACTAGGGACCATTTTCAGTATTTTCAATTGTCACAATGGCATGTGGTAGACTGTAGCCAGGCCTGCTAGACAGGACAGCCTTAGATAACAAATAATTACCCAGTATCCTCCAAGTCTTTCAGATGTTCCACCAGACTTGCCGGTAGGTGAGAAAATCCTGTTACTTCTTTGAATATAGAGCCTAACTGTATTTTACTTACAGACACAAGTGTTTCTTGCACTGTTTAGTAGTCACTGAATTATCAAGGAATGCAACATCCTTAAATGTAAATTGAAGAGGAATTATACTTTGTTTTGTTTGCAATTGTACCAAGAGTTGTTCATCATTGTGAAAAATCATGTCGACAATTCATGGCATTTCAATCACCAACACAATAACCAGGCATCAATCTACATACACAGATGTTACATTTATAGGATTCTATGTATGTTTATGTGTATACTTATTTACTCCTTATTTCAAAGCTTCAAATAGAAAGAAAAGCTTTTGCCAATACTCAGTTGAATGTTGTTTTACTCCTCTTTAATCCAAATATATTCATTGCAAGTAGGTCCAAACATCTGATGACATCATTTTATCTCCAGGAATAGTCAACAAGTAAGCATTTACATAATAAAATGCACTGAAAGCTATCTTTCTCTTTTCTTTATATTAAAATTGTAACACTATTTTAATACTTAAATTTATGTGTAGAGGCAGTTATATTATTAATACATTTCATTTCAGAAATGAAGGGGATATTCCAAAACACATTACAAAGATGCAGCACTGAATCTAATAGGGTTAGTAACCACTGCTTTGGATGCACAGAGAAACCGTAGAGAGCGGATTCCAATGTATCTACACAGGAAGGTAAAGTGCAAAAGTACCAAAAGGTGATGCTAGCTCTGTAAAGGAAAATATCATTTGCTCATGATTAGAAGAGAGAAATACAGATTAATGCCATATAGAACTCTGAAAGGGCAGCTTTTCCTGTTCTTTGAGGATGCTTGGTTATTGTAAGCGGTCACAAGGCACCAGTTCCCATGCCAACCTGAGTCAACTGCAGCACCAAACCATAGACTGCATAAACACCTCAATATTTCTCATTCACAGAAAAGGTGAGAACTTTTTTGTCAATAACTTCAACAAAGATGAGCCCAAGTATTTTCAGAAATACTAGCATTTTAGTGTGATGATACTGCATTGGAAAGTTGGATAAAGTAGACAAAAGATAGTTGAGAAATCCTGTAGAAGAATTCTGTATTTTGTTTTAGTATTTTGTTTTTAAGGAGCTAATTTCTAGTTTGTTTTCTTCTATTTCTGTTGTCTGTAAGCAAAAAGAACTAATTTCCTTACTGGTCTAATCCCTAAACTCACTGCAGTGGAAATGAGTGAAATATGAAAAGGAGGCTGGGTGCGGTGAATCACGCCTGTAATCTCAGCACTTTGCGGGGCTGAGGCGGGTGGATCACCTGAGGTCAGGAGTTCAAGAGCAGCCTAGCCAACATAACGAAACCCCATCTCTACTAAAAATACAAAAATTAGCCAGGCATGATAGCGCGTGCCTGTAATCCCAGCTACTCAGGAAGCTGAGGCAGGAGAATCACTTGAACCTGGGAGGCGGAGGTTGCAGTGAGCCACGATCACGCCCCTGTGCTCTAGCCTGGGAGACAGAGCAAGACTCTGTCTCAAAAAGAAAAGAAAAGAAAAGAAAAGAAAAATACGAAAAGGAGAGGAGATTATATAGCTAAAATGAGTGTAAACATAGATTATAATTTCCAGTATTACTATTTTAATTATTAGTATTAAGTATGCATTTATTATTATCATCAACTTTTACAAAATGCAGTAAGGGTAGAAATGTAGGCGTAAAGCAAAGCCCTGTTTGGTAGAACAAAATCCTACTTGGTAGTAACAATAACAATCAAATACCTCCAAGTCACTGTTGAAATGTTGTCTTCTCCACGAGGCCTAATGTGACTTTCTATGTAAAACTGCAAGTTGCCCCAATTCCTGCACTCCTCCTCCCCATCTCTATTACGATGTTCAGTTTTATTTCATAGCTCTTACCAGTTTCTAGCATACAAAGTAATTTGCTCATTTATTATGGTTATAGTTGCCTCCTACCTCTAGAATATATTTCTATGAGGGGAGGAACTGTTCACTATACAGTCCAGCATGCTGAAAAGTGTCTGGAACAGGGTAAGTTAACCAGTATGTATTTGTGGAAAGAATGAACAATAGCACATACCATTTACTGAGTGCTTTCTATGGGCCAGGCACATTGATAAGTGCTTTACATAGAAATCTTATTTAATTTTTATTATAAAAGCCTGCAAGGTAAATATTATGAATCCTCAGTTCATAGATGAACAAACTGGGATTTAGAGAGAGTACAACAGCTGTTCTACATGGTACAGCCAGTGAGCAGTGGGGCTGGCCCTCAAGCCCAGGCAGTCTGACTTCAAAGTTCCATACTCGCCACAACAGAAACTCAGTAGAGCTCAGATACTCTTTTTCTCCCTTTAGGGGGTGAAAGGAGTATCTGGATTAGTCAGCTCCATTGTGCGTGTGTGTGTGTTGTGTGCTTTTTTGGTTTTGTTTTGTTTTGCTTTGAGATGGGGTCTCACTCTGTTGCCCAGGCTGGAGTGCAGTGGTGCGATCACAGCTCACTGCAGCCTCAACTTTCCCCAGCTCAGGTGATCCTCCCACCTCAGCCTCCCAAGTAGCTGGAACTACAAGCACACACCACCACACCCTGCTAATTTTTTTGTATTTTTCGGGGTTTTGCCATGTTACTCAAGCTAGTCTCGAACTCCAGGGCTCCAGCGATCTGCGCACCTCGGCCTCCAAACGTGCTAGGATTACAGGTGTGTGGCCCTCCCCACTGTTGATCCCATTCTTGTTCATTGCGATCCTTCAAAAAATATGCAAGATGGAAGACAAGGTGCAGGCAGGGGACAGATGGGGAATCTTTGTGTCTTCAAAATCTCTCAATTTTGCTATGAAACTAAAACTGCTCTAAAAAAAATTAAGCCTTTAAAAATAATGTCTTAATGCACTTGTATTTCTGAATAGTTCAATTTTGGGGTCATGAAAGCTTTAATAGGTAATTGTTGACTTAACACCTTTACAACAATGAAAGATTTACACCTAAACATTACATGAGGTAAAAGGAAATTTATTCATCAAATACAGTAAAAAAAAAAAAAGTAGAAATTAAGAATAGAGTAAAGCATGGTTGACCTCAGCTTTTTTGTGAGAGTTTCTATTTTCTCATTTGGTGAAACTATCTTTGAGGGACTGACCTTTCGACATTCAGCGCCATTTCCTTTGACTCCTGGCATCTTCTGCTGCATGTTCACTATTCAAAGTAGCCCAAAGGGAACCAAGACAGTCCACAGCTATTGTTTTGCCATTTAATCAAACCTGAATAAAGAGCTTGTACACATAAGGAAAGTAAAAACTCACTAGAGGTTACATGAAAGAGGCTGCCATGGAGAGGACTCGTCTGTTCACGTAACATGAATAATTTCCCCATCGAGTTGAGAAAGTTCTGAACACATTTCTTTCTCTTTTTTTTTAAAGACTGAAAAATGGATATAAGCCCATAGCACTTGTTAGCTAGTCAAGCAAAGAGTGTACTCACTAAATTTGTGCATAGAAACAATCATGATCCCACAGCAAAAAATACTTCCTTACCATGCCCTTCATAGCAGGCATTTTGAAAACTGAAAATTCTGCCAAGTCAAATATATAACTGTAGCTATGTCTACTTCTGTTTAAAGGCAGAGAGAAGAGGAAACTAACAATACTAATTCCATAATTTCAGAATGAGTTGCAAGTACAATATTGGAAAGAATATCCTCAGAAAACAGGTTCCCCAGAGGCAGGTGACCACAGCAAGTCATCAGGAGAAAAACTTATATGTTCAATTTTTCTATCATCATAGAATTCATCCCATCATAAATGGAGGGAACTCTTCACCTTGAGAGGCTACAATTTAGGATGAAAGTTTTAACGTTTAATATGTAGACAAAATTATCACTAAGATCATTTAGGGTTGTCCAACTTTTCATGAAGTTCCCAGGCCTCCATATTTTCAGTGTTATAAACACTTGAGCTCCCATTTATAAGCCCTGAATCCATTTTATGTCTCCCAAAAACCAAAATATTTAAATTAAAATACAGGTAGCTCAGATTGACTGTCTCTCACAGGAAGACCATTTATGCTAAAACATGCTGATTCTTATAGAGTGACTACCCTTTTAAAATTAAAAACTGCATCAGTGAAAGAAAATTACAACCTATATTTATCATTCAAAAAGAAGCTAGAAACCTTAAGTAAAAACAGGGCATTTTTGTTTTCAAAAATCCAATTTTTATTCTCGTTATATAACAAAGAATTTTAATGTCTCCCTAATCACAAAAAGAAAATGCTGTTTGGATTAAAAGCAGTAGTTACATGCCACTCATTGCACTCCAGACAGTTCTGACCTTTTTGTAAGAGACCAATTTTGTATTTCCTTTCTCCTGCCTGAACTATTGCACTGGCTTGAGAGTTGGGCTCCTTCCTTCCAGTCTTGACTCTCTAATCTATATTTCATGCCATGAACAAGAATTATCGTTCTAAATCGTCATAATCATTTCATTCTCCTACTTGGAAACTTTAAACAGCTCTTTACTTAATAGAGAATAACGTCCAAACTTCATACTAGAGCACTGAAGCAACCCCACAATCAAACCTCGTCTTAACACTCCTAGTCCTGTACACTACACACACTCTATGCTCCAAGGACTAGAAGCAGATAAAGTCCTTTCCATGGGCTCAGGAACCTTCCTTGTGTGGCTTCCTCATTCCCTCCACTTGGCTGCTGCTGAAATTTAAAATCAGCACATGTTCTACTTTTCCCATGAAGACATTTCCAGTTCTCACAGTCATAATTACTTATGTCTTCCTTTGCATTCCCAACACACATACATTTTATCTTATCATGATTAGTATTATAGGGGGTTGCCTCCATTGCCCTATTTCCCTCTATTGTGTGAGATCAAAGGTCTTGTCGTGTTTAATTCCAGATTATTATAACAAAACACTGTGTACATGGTGGTGGCTCAGGAAATGTTTGCTAAATGAAAGAATGAATGAATCATGTAAACATCCAATCAGTCAATCAGTAAGAAGGAATAAGGGTGAAATGTTGAGTCAAAGACAGGACTTTGAGTGCCTGCACTTTCACTTAGAAGAACCTTAGGTTCTTATTCATAAGGCTGACCATGCCTGCTCTACCATGATAATAACAAGGAAAGAATATACATTTCCGTTACTTCATAGTCAACCCAAAATGATCTGAGATGTATTATACATTCCCAACACTGTGCGGGGCACATTGAGAGACAGAACATAAATTTCGGCTATAACTCTTACTGATTGTCTTTTGTCTATTGAAATATTCCCCTCCTGACTACACAAATTGTTTCTTTAAAAAGGTGAGTTTGAACCACAATTTTATGATTTATGCAATGATAAAGTCTGACATAAATTTCCGGAGAAGTCTAGAACTGGTTATTAAACAATGATGAACACATATGAAGACAATGACCAATTAAAGACAGAACATTTTCATTAAAATACTTTATATGAAACTAAATATTTTCCCTTTTTTATATGGTTATAAGGCTGAAGGTCAGAAAAAGACTATAATGTTTAAATGAGAAATTCTTGATGTCCTTCTGAGCACAATGAAGAAGCACAGGGGAATGATATCAGTTATGTTTGCAACACACCCAAACAGTATAGACTGAAAAATGAATGTTGAAATTCAATTTTTAGCACTATCTCTAATGGGCTGTTATTAAGTCCTGGAATTGGGACAATTCTACTAAACATGCCCATCGGCGACTTGGCTGAGATCATAAAAGGCATGCTTACCAAATTTAGAGATGACAAAAAATTGGGAGAAGTAGTGTATATATTAAATTTATATATTTAAAAAAGCTTTACAAGAAACTCATCAGATTGGAAGACGGGCCTAAACAAACAAGATTACATTCATCCAGATTAAATTCCAGGTTCTGAATTTATGTTTTTAAAAAATTAATTGGGTTATGAAAAAAACAATCCATGTACATGGATTAGAAAACTATATGGTCAAATAATCTTTAACAAGAGTGCTAAGACCATTCAATGGAGGAAAGGACAGTCTTTTTGACAAATGCTCTTGTTAAAACTGTTTATCTACATGCAAAAGAATGAAGTTGGATGCTTACGTTACACCATATACAAAAATTAAAGCACCTAAACAAAAGACCTAAAACTATAAAACTCTCAGGAGAAACATAAAGGAAGTCTTCATGGCATTGGCTTGAGCAATGATTACTCAGGTATGATACAAAACACAGGCAACAAAAGTAAAAGTAGAAAAAGTGGGCTACATCAAAATTAAAACTGCTATGTATCAAAGAACACAATCAACATTGTGAAAAAGCAATCCATAGAATGGGAGAAAATACTTGCAAATCATTTATCTGGTCAGGGTATAATATCCAGAATATATGGATAACTCCAAAACTCAACAACAAAAAAGGAAAAACCCAATTTTTAAAATGGGGAAAGGACTCAAACAGATATTTCTCCAAAGAAGAATTACAAATTGCCAACAATCACATGAAATGATGTTCACCATCATTAGTCATTAGGGAAATGCATATTGAAGCCATAATGAGGTTGCCACTTCACATTCACTAGGATGGCTACTATCAAATAAACAGAAAAGAAGAAATGGCGGCAAGGATGCAGAGAAACTGAAACCCTTGGGTACTGCTGGTGGAAATATGAAAGGTGCTATAATAAAAACTACAAAAAACAGTATGGCATTTCTTAAAAAAACATAAAAATAATTACCATATTATCCAGCAATCCCATTTATGGGTATGCATCCAAAAGAACTGAATAGTATCTAGTATAGTATCTAGAATATATAAAGAACTCTCAAAACTCAAGTTTGAACAACTGAACATTTGATTGAATAACTTTCCCAAAGCTTGTCATTTAAATGAACCCACGGCATGACTGAGGGAAAAGCAGAACATCATAAGATTCCACTCCCAGGCTCGTGAAGTTACTGAAAACATCTATTGGTCCAATTCCCACCAAGTTGGGAAAGGATGAGAATGTTTCCCATAACAAATCTCCACACTTTACTCAATGAAAAACCTGAAAAAGTAAATAAATAAATACTTCTAAAGACCTGAGTGTTGTTAAACTTATTATCTAATGATAGTATCTCATTGTTCCTTCAGTTTTTAATATAGTTTTCCTTAGTTAAGAATGTACAGGAAAAGAAGGGCCAAAGGGGCCTGTTGCACTGCTTACCTCACCAGCAACTATCTTCTTGATATATGTCATCACGATTGGCTGATACTAACGGAAGCAGGGGTGTGGCTTTATTAAAGTGCATCAGGAGAAACATCTTCTTAAGGAAATGCCAGCTTTTATATTATTTTATAAGAAGAAGGAGAAAGAGGGAGAACACATGTGCAAGCGAGCTGAATGCACACACGCTCAATGAACTCAACTACTGTCAAAAAAAAGCTTGAAAACATTTCACTATTTTATAATAGCCACAGCTGAGCCAGCAAATGACACTGTTGTAGCTACTATTTATATAATTAAAATTATACCCTAACATTTCATTTTAGAACTCCATATTAAACCACTTCCATCTTTAAGCTAAAAGCACTTCAAAAGAAATGTATTCTTGTTATGGTCAACTAATTAAAAGTGCATTGTATCTGGACCAGAAGAACCTATTTCCATGCACAGGCTAAAGACAGCCCGGGGAAATGACTAGTGAACCTTCAGATAAGATGACATTTTAATTTTCCTTTATATATCACATCGCCTACACCTAGCTTCATAAGCATGTCAGCTCACTTTGTCACCTGCTGTATTACATTAAGAAAATGTTTTTATTTTCCCACCTTTTCTTCTAGAAGTGGCCTATGACTGACATTTCAGGAGGAATAGCCTTACTTGGAAATATTCTCTTTTATAAATAGTACTCCCAAAGTCTATTCCAACCTAAGCTCCACTTCAACATAATTTAAAATGCAGCTTTCTATATAAGGCATTTTATATATGTTTATTAAATGCCTTATAATAAACACTTATGTATTCAATTCAGCTAGATCATGTATATGATTCATAAGTAATCTAGATAATTTATAAATTTTATACACTAAATTTAAATTATATACCCATGATTTTCATCACATAAATTAACACATACTATTTATATGCCCCTAGCAGAATATGCTTCAGAATCCATGAATCCATTGAAATAATATGCAAATTTTATATCTGTACATACATGTGCTTAGCTTTCCACAGTTTCTCAAAAGAATCTGTGAATCAAAAGAAGTTAAGAACCACTAGTCTATTCCCAAATGTCCATCATATTATTTAAATATAAGCAGCATCTCTGAACAGGAGACATAAGACCCTCTGACTTTTAGAGGGTTAAATAACCATGCAGCTTTCCATTTGCATCTACACCTATATGCAACTGAAATTGATTGACCACATTTTCTTCCCCCCCCTGCCGCTTTTAATGACTCATTTTTAATTTCCACTTCAATGCTAAATAATATCTATTTTTAAAGTGTGCTTGTTTGCATATCACACCAAACTAAAATTACATCCCCAAGAAAATGTTCCCAGTCAAGCTAAAAAAAAAAAAAAAACTTAGCATATATGCTGAAGAGGCTGCTGTTTGGTACCTTGGTTAGTGCTGAAGTAGGCAGGAAGAGCTGGAAATGCAAAACAGCTTCTCTGACTTAGAATTACATCAATATTACAGTTCAGGAAAATCACATTATTTAAAACTATAACATGCTCATAAAAATTCAAAAACTGGCTCTTTTTCTGTTACAATATGCTGAAGAGCTACAGTGATTCAGTCATCTACCTGAAAGCTTTTGTTTCAAATCCTTTCTAATAGGTCTCACTACTCCTCTGTGAATGGTTTAGAGTAGGACCTTTGGTCCCATTCATCCTTCTATGTGGAGCATCAGACACAGTACCTGCGAACACAAAGCAATTCAAAAAGTTTTTTATTAATTAATATTGTATGACCTAATTAAATCCTAAAATTTAAGCTTCTGGAAGCTATCCCAGTGTGCACAGCTTAAGTATGTTCTAAAATGACAGAGGGGCAAAAGTAAGCCATCTTAGGGACATGCGTCAAATTATTCCAAACAACTATCACTTCCAGTAACATTCCTGAGTCATCTCAAGATAAGTCCATGCTGGCAAATATAGAAGTCATTAGGCAAAGAACATAAATTTGCTTAAGATGCAGAGGCAAAAGTGATCCCAATATCAATCACCTTAAAGCTTCATAATTAAAATGAGTCTGGCAATTGTCTCAGACACACACACACACACATACGTGTATGTATACAATGTATACATATTATATATGCATAATGTATACATATTATATATGAACAGAGTAGAAATATACAGCTAAAATTGTTTTAATATACAAACCAAAATGACATTTTAAATAAAAGAGAAGCATATGACATCATCCAAGTAGAAGGAACTGCTAAGAGTCATCTAGTTCAAACTCTAATCTGGTCCATTACCTTTCAAGCATTCAAGTAAGTTTTCTGTCCTGTTTTTTAAAGGCCTCTAGGATTGTATAATGTATATCAAGTGTAAGGCTTTCCAAAATCATCCTTTATTCACTTATGCAAAATAAGAAAGAAAACAATGTGAGAAAAGATGAATATTCTCAAATCTGGCAGTGCCTGCTGATAACTTCTCACTGTTAGATCAGAGAGTTATTGGTACTGTTTGTCATTCATGTCCTGAAATCTTCAAGTACACCAGGAACTGCACATGTTCCCAAACCACCATTTCAAATTAGCACCAACAGATTGGAGTTAATGGCACATATAACACATTCTGCAGAATTTAAAGCTTTCAGGCCAGCTCTAATAGGTAGCTGTGCCTTGATTTGTGGTTATTATCCTACAATAACATAAAAATTAGCTATCCAGGTAAAGAGTGGCTCTCCATTTTTTAGTTGGCTACCCACCCCCAATTCCAAAAGCATAGGTCCATCATGTTCAGATTTTAAAGTTGAAAGAAAGGTAGACACCTTAGACACCTCATGGAGGAGCCCGGAGACAGTTGTGAATAATGCTGCCCCATCTGAGATAGAACCTTCTTTTGTTATGTACTGGGCACTTAAAGAAAAAAAGTACAACTCTGTAATGGCAAAAGAAAGGTGCAAAAAAATGCAGGATAGAAGCAGGGCCTTGAGAATATATCTGGGAGTTGGAGGAAGAAGGTGGGAAAAAGGCTGAGACAATGTACAGCATGGGCTCTGCAGACTGGGCAGGGAGAACATAACAACCAGTAGGCAAGATAAGGAATACAGTTAAATGAATCAATGAGTGAGTAAATGAATGAATGAACCAACATAGGAACCAATGAACATACAAATAAAATGAATGAATAAGTGAATGAGTGGGCATATAAATGAATGAAGTTGCTGAATGGTAGGCTGGAACTAAGATGCAGACAGTCCTAAATGTCATGTAATGAGTCTGAATTCATCCAAAAAAGCAGAATGAGAAAGACATTTCTTAGACTTCTGCAGAGCACAGTCTGCCCAACTGTATGCACAGACCTAACTAAAAGCAATGAGAGTTCACGGAAAGTTTTTAACTCTATTAAATCAGTCACTGTGGAAGATCATTCAGGGAACAGTAGGCAGAGGATAAGAAACAGAAGTCTTACAACAGGTCCAAGGACTACGAGCTAAGCAATTGGGTTGTTGTTTTTCTGATCATGCATATACTAGAATTTTGGATTTGGGTTTTTTTAATTGTTATATAAGTCACGTGCTGTAATATTCATGCTTCTAAAGTATACAATTCAGTTGTTTCTCATATATTTGCAAAACTGTACACTCATCACCACTATGTAATTCCAGAATATTTCATCACTCCATAAGGAAACTCTGGACCTATTAGTGGTTACTCGCCATTTCTCCTCACCTGAGTCCATGGGATTCACATGTTTTAATCTTAATATTAATTTCTCCTTTATGTATCTCCCCAAAGTGCATACAAGGACAATATAAGGGTATCTGCACAAAGCAGACTCTCAGTAAAAGATACATGATTATCTGCCAAAGAAATATTGTCAGAATGCAGGAAGTATCAAGACAATTTTCTTTGCTACCCACCTGATGCGACATTTTTACTCTCACACGGTGAGTAGCAATTTTCAAGGTTCATTAAGTTTTTTAAAGTATCACTTGGTTTCCCAATTGCAAAAGTTTAAGTTGTTTTTCTCCCCACTGGATACCATAACAACCTAAATATAGTGGCCAGATCAAAAGACGGTAAAAGTAGATGGTGCACAACTAATAACCCAATTCAGCAACCACAGCCTTAGATCATGATCGATTTTTCCCTCCACCCTACAGAGTGAAACAAGTTCTGAGAACGCACAGGTGTTTCTCTGCAAGTCCCTGGGCGGAAGTAGCGGGTTATAGGATAAGCCGATTTCTTTTTCCATTTTAAAGTCATCTAAGAAGGTATTTCCATTACATTTTGTATATAATTCTACTACTGAGTTTTGGAATGGCTCTTTGGTATTTGGGAGCACACATTTAAAAAAAAAGGAAATCTCCAAATTCCTCTCAGAGATTATTACCCTGAATTTTAGAACAAATTTCATTTAGGCTTTGTATGTCATCCCCCATTACACACACAAACACATAATTTTTTTTCTTATTTCTGTTAAAAATGTAAAATACCTTTAATGATAAAAAGATATTCCTTAAGATAATTAAATCCAGCTGAATAAAAATATAGTATGTATGTCTTACTCATTTTCCTCATTCTGTGCATAGGGCCAAGGGACTAAATTTACACATAGCACCGAGGCTGTGCACAGTCCTCCTCTGTCCCATCCTCACTCCGCCCCGAGTGCTGCACTGTGAGAACAAGACACCCTCTTCGTATATATTCGCTCACTACTTATGAAAGATATTTGCATTAAAACAGTTGTTTTCATAATACTAAGCTTCTAGGATTTAAAACAAAATAAAGCCCGAACTGAAAACAAAAAACAAAAAACCTGACTGCATTTTGGTCAGTTCATCTCTTCCTATAAACTATTTTAAAAATTTATTTATTTATTTATTTTTTTTCTGAGACGGAGTCTCGCTCTGTCGCCCAGGCTGGAGTGCAGTGGCGCGATCTCAGCTCACTGCAAGCTCCGCCTCCCAGGTTCACACCATTCTCCTGCCTCAGCCTCCCGAGTAGCTGGGACTGCAGGCTCCCGCCACCACGCCCGGCTAATTTTTTGTATTTTTAGTAGAGACGGGGTTTCACCGTGTTAGCCAGGATGGTCTCGATCTCCTGACCTCGTGATCCGCCCGCCTCGGCCTCCCAAAGTGCTGGGATTACAGGCATGAGTCACCGCGCCCAGCCAAAAATTTATTTTTAAAAAAAGTTTAAATACTTTGCACAGTACCTAAATTTCTTTGTACCGCTCTCTATAAACAAATCATGTGGAAAATATTTTCTAAATGCTCAGGTCTGTCAAGTTTGCTAGACATAATCTAATCCCTTTTGTATCTTCTCTCAGTAACTCAAGACTTTGTAAAGCTGCAGGACAGTTAAGACAACAGGGACCCAGGGGACAGAGCCTTCACAATCAGTCACAGCAGCCACCAAACCCCTGGCCTGAGCTATACAGAGGAAGGGGTTTTTATCTTCTTCCTTCACAATGCCTGAATACTCTCAAGGAATCCTCCATAAATAATTCATTAGCAGCAAAAAGAATACAGTCTAATCAATAAGGAGTAATGGCGAAACTCACAGCAGGTTCAGGGGACTGATTGAGTGTTACATTAATGTCTGATTAAGCTTCCTGGGAAATTTTAATTGTTCATAGACCAAAGACCTAAAATTAACCTTTTAACCTTCTGTTATAAAGGGTCTTTCTCAATGGACCAAAAAATGTTTATAAAATATATCTAATGAAAATGGGAGGCTAACATGAGTATTTCAATACATAGATTTTCTCAAGACCACACAGAAAAACAGAACTTGGTTGACTTCATTCTACCTAAAACATTCCTAATCCAATCATATTGTCTAATATTTAATGATTATTTTCCAGTGGGTGTTATAAGAGCTTTATAACACACTTTCATTTCTCAACTATCAATTCCCTATTTTCCAGGAAAGGAATTTAGCAAACTCTGCACTCTTTTTCTCTTTTTCTAGTAATTCCCTTTGTCAATTCACAGCAAAACAAACTGCATGCCATAAGCATTCAAGAAGCTGAGTTTGAAACACATTTCTTTAACAAAAATGAAAAATTCTGATTTTATAGTTACACATGTAGAATTTTAAATTAAAAATTGTTGATATGTGCTAATATTACACAGAAAATCCAAGATGGTTAACAATGGTGGGTTATAGAAGGCCTTAATGACAGGCTATTTCTCCAATTTTGTTTTGTTCAAGCTAATGTTAAAAGAATTGAATATTTCATCACACTCTGAGAAGACAGCAAAGAATCCTGCTGGAAAGGAAAGAGCAGCTGATCTAAGCTTTTAAATATGCCATGGATAGTCCGCACAAAGATATGAATCACCTGTGTTTCACTCTACAATGACACAGCTCTCCCTTTCATTAAGATATGAATCACCCATATTTCACTCTGCAATGACACAGTTCTCCCTTTCATCAAGATATTCTTTTCATCATGTATTGGTTGATCGAAGACAAAACATAAGAATGGACAAATCATTCTTTAGTTACATAAGAATATTATCTAAACCAAGATCTCTTTCAAAAGGATCATGAAGAATGCACATATATACAAATGAGAAGACTTGCCAGTAATGGTCAATGAGGTACAAGTGCCAGGTTTCTGCTGAAATGCTTGGTAAAACAGGTAAAAGGATGATGGGTTCTGGGGATCAGGACCTTTCGCTTCAAATTCCAGCTCCACCGCTTTGGATGTGCATTATTTTGGCCCAGACACTTTTCTCTAAGCCTATTTCCTCCTCTGGAAAATTATTAGTGGTATTCATCTTGTACACGTATTCTTTGGGACTAAGAAAAAATGAAAGACTTACACTTTCTAGCAACAATATAAGGTCAACAAATGTTAGCTTTAGTATTAGTACTAGCACCAGTAGTATTAGTACCGCTAGCAGTTACTGCAGCTGTGCAACAGAGAACGGAAGTGTCCACCATCTTCATTGAAGGAACTGCTCCGTGGTGGATTATTTTCCTATTAAAGTTTATACTTTAAAGCATCAAACCTTTTTATCCCGCCCATTTGGAAGGAAATGCTATTTATTTATTTATTATTTTTTAGAGATAGGGGTCTCAATCTGTCACCCAGGCTGGGGTACAGTGGCACAATCACAGCTTACTGCAGCCTCAAACTCTTGTGTTAAAGTGATCCTCCTGCCTCAGCCTCCCAAGTAGTAGGGACTATAAGCACATGCCATCATGCCCCGTTAGAGATGGAGTCTCACTATGTTGCCCAGGCTGCTCTTGAACTCCTGGCCTTAAGCCATCCTCCCCTCTCCGCCTCCTGAGTTGCTGGGATCACAGAACTGAGCCACCAAGCCCAGCTGGAAGGAAATGCGTTTCAAATGCACATCACGGTCACTGGCTTAGCAGAGTGGAGTCTATCTTCCTTGGCAATTCAGGACCATCTTTAGGATCAATACTTACTATCTTATATAACTTATGACAGTAGAGGTATTGTCAGGGGCTACCCAAGTGGGCAGGCTTCATTCAGGTGACCTATCCGTTCAACTGCTATGTTTTTCTTGAAGCTGGTGACTCTGTCAGGAAAACTCAGAACAATTCTCAGAAAGGTTCATAGGACACTAAATGTCTTAGGGTCACATGGAGCTAATACATAAGGGAGCAGTCACTTGAACCCAAAAGTATCTGGCTTGGAAATCAACTCTCTCTAACAACCCATACTGAACTCAGCTGTCACTGTATACACACAACAGAACTGGAAACTCTGCAAAAGATCTAGCAGGATTTGAATTCCACACGATATGAGCAAATGTTGAACAGGGCGACAGGATACAGCTACCAAAAAGCCTAATGGTAAAACAAAGACAAACAATTATTTCTCAAATTTTATCATTTGTACGGATATTCAAAGGAATTTTAATGTCTTAAGCACACCTTGACAGATGGTGCATTCCTATGATTACTTACTTTCATTTTACTGTCCTCAATTCTCTCCTTCACAGTTATGGTAGCCAACAAAAGCAACAGCAGCATAATGTCTATTAAACATGTACAGTGTGCTAGAAACTGTGGTAAGTCCTTTACAGAACCACAGCCCCCCTGAATGTACTCAAAATTCTGCAGTAAATGACTAACATGCCAACGTAAACACATTTAAAAAAAATCTTCATTTAAATTTATTAAACAGTCCAGAATTCATAAAGCAATGTAAAAACATTCAAGATTCCATTTAGTAAACACATCTCCTGGAATACAGCACTAGTTGCTGTTTAAACCCTGGTGATTGAGTTCTATGTTCAGTGGAAGCAGAGTCGAGCTGGAAGCAATGAAAGACTTATTTTGAAACAAAGTTAAGTTTCCTATAAAGAAGTCAAATTATGTTTGGGTTCATTCTCTTTTTCAAAGTTTTCCTCTTCCTTACTCTCACATTTAAGAAATTACCTTTAAGCAAAAAGAACTTGCTCAGAAGATAGCAGTCACTAAGAATCAGGCATCACCGGCCTTGAACCTCAGTATACCACATTCTTTTTTCTTTCTTTAGCACCAGAAGGATACCTCTCTTCTCGATTCAGTAGTCCCCCTTACCCTTAGGGGATACATTTCAAGACCCTCAGTGGGTGCCTGAAACCACAGATAGTACTGTACCCTCTATACTCTATGCTTTTTCTTATACATACATACCTATGATAAAGCTTAATTTATAAATTAGGCACAGAGATTAACAAAAATAATTACTAATAAAACAATTATAATAATATACTATTCACAGTCTCATGGATAGATTCTTTCTTCCTGTAGATCTTAGCAACCTCAGCGTATTTTTTTTTTCTTTCCTTATTAAGTCGGGAACTTTCACCTTTTCACTGAAGGAAGCACTTTACAGCTTCTTTTTGGCATATCCAAATTGACAGCGCTAGTCTTGCACTTTGGGAGCATTATTAAGTCAAATAAGGGTTACTTGAACACAAGCACTGTGAGACTGCAATACTCCATCTGATAACTGAGGGTGACTGCTAGGTGACTAATGGGTAGGTCGTGTATACGCATGGATACGCTTGATGAAAGAATGATTCATGTCCCGGGGGATACGGGATTCCATCATGCTTCTCAGAACAGTGCACGACTGTAAACCTATGAACTGTTTATTTCTGGAATTTTCCATGTAATATTTTTAGACTGTAGTTGACCAAAGGTAACTAAAAGCACAGAAAATGAAACCTCAGATAAGGGGGGCACTGCTGTACTTTCAGTAGAGAGTTCTCGTAAGTATATTGCTCTTTTCTGGACACCTACAAACACAAATTGGCCAGAACATCATGAAGCATGTTTAGTGTGAAGACAAGTAAGAAGGGCTTGGTGATCTTAGTTCCAACCTTTGGCAGCTTCTTCATGGAGATAAACACGAGGGTAGAAAGTTCTGTGCAAGTCTGGCTGTGCAACCAGCCTCTCTTAATTGTGTAAGACCCACATGGAATGGTAAGAAATAATTGCCACCACAATGGACAACAAAATCTCACTAATGTGAATTAACAGGCAAAAAAGCTAACCTGGATTACATTATCTTTTTTAATGGAAATACAGTTGTATATTTAATACACACACACACACACACACACACACACACACACACACAAACATGCATCCTCCAATTAGACTAACAGTGTAGAGGGTCTTGGGACCTGCTTAAAGGATAGGGACTCTTAGTGAATCATGCATTACTGCAAGAAATACGTCTTCCCAAAGGCTTCAAAACAGGTGCCTTTCTTTGTAAGTTTAAACAGTGTCCTTGCAGTCTTGGGTATACAATAGGATTCTAAGTCAGTTCTCTCCATAACACATTTTGAAAGAAAAAAAGTCAAAGCAGGACAGGCATGGTGCTCACACCTGTAATCCCAGCACTGTGGGAGGCCAAGGCAGGTGGATAGCTTGTTCAAGACCAACCGGGGCAATGTGGCAAAATCCCATCTCCACTAAAAATACAAAAAATCAGCCGGCTATAGAGGCATGTGGCTACGGTCCCAGCTACTTGGGAGGCTGAGGTGGGAGGATCACTTGAGCCCACGAGGTCAAGGCTGCAGTGATCCATGATTGTGTCACTGCATTTCAGCCTGGGCAACAGAGCGAGACCCTATCTCAAATCAATCAATCAATCAATCAAAGCAGCACTATATGAATCATCATAAATGTCAAATTAGTAAGGTCTAAATTCTAGATTCTGCTTATTCATGCTTTGGGATCCCAGCCTCTATGCTTCTGGATCCTCCCATCTGTTAGGTCAACACCATTTACCTATATGTCTAGAAGAATGCTCCACTACATCACCTCACAGAAGGGCACAGGATCAAGATATTGAACATTTGATTTAATGCAGAAAAAGTAACTTTCCCAAAGCCTTGTGCTTTCCAGCCAGGCACTCGTTTCCTCACACAACAGCAGCATGGCTAACCAACAGCTTCCAGAAGTACCTGTAAAGATTGATAACTTTAGCTGGAGGAAAAGCTGGAGATTTTCTTCTCCATTCCCTGACTGTACTTATAAGCTACTTACTGCAGCCCGGCAAGGCTCTCCTCACCTGGACGGACAGCCTCCCTGTCGAGCTGACAAGAGCTGACGGATACACCCGCCAGAGGACTACTAAAGATCGGGATGCTGCTACCGCCATGTCCCTGGCACTCTTCAGGGCAAGCCTGGGTACCAATGTCTTCTCTTACTCATGGCAAACACTGACGTGGAACCAGCCTAAAAATTCTAACACAGCCCCTTCTCAATTAAATTTATTGAATGTGTTTTTGGTATTCGAAGCTCATTTTTATGTTTGCAATAATGTCAGTACAACTGATCCATTATTATTAAACTACAGTTTTTAATAAAACTCCATTTCACCATAACATCTAAAATACTGCAGCTGAACTTGATTAATTATACCCTAGAAGAAAGTAATAACAGATTTCCCTATTTCAAATACAAAATGGGAAGCTCCTGTTTTATTCTTCTAATTATATGAGAATGGGCAAAGTAATATACCCTCCCTGTCAACAAATTTCAGAAACTTGCTTTTATCTTTTTATTTTTCCTCCAGTCAGAGTCCTTGTTAATGACAGGAGCATATCATAATTTAATTAGCTGACACCAACTGGCAATCTACCCACTTCTTTTTAATTGGAATCATTTCATAGAACTATCCATAAAGGCCCATTTTGCATAACTAATAACCTTCATAAACAAGACCTTTGGAAAACTGCTGACTTTAATGGAAAGAGATAAAACACTTGGACACAGGCACCATGTTCCCACTTCACAGAAGACTAGGGACACAGAATTTACTCTGCAATGTATATAACAGAGCTAATTCAGGAAGCACGAATCGGGTTTCCCGGATCTGGATAGCAAAAAACTTCCAGAAAGTCAACTTCCCCACCGCCTCACGAAAGCATCCTAATAGTTTTGTATAGTGGAAAGAACACAGGCTTGAAAATCTGAATTTGTCTTTCTTCTTTCTTTAGACAAGGTCTCACTGTGTTGCTCAGGCTGGAGTACAGTGGCTATTCACACACTCAATCATAGTAAACTATAGCCTTGACCTCCTGGGCTCATGGGATCCTTCTGCTTTAGCCTCCTGAGTTACTGAGACTACACATGCCTGGCTCAGATGCAAATTTTAATCTGAGCTACAATGTGACCTTGATCAAGTTCAGAAACTTCTCTGAGCTTCTGGTTCTTATTTGCAAAATGAAAGCGGTATAACATCTAACTCAAAAGGCTGTCAGGAATATTAGTTATAATGTATGTAGTGTCAGCAGCGAATAGCTCAATAAATAGCTTTTATTCTCCCAATTATTACATATTAAATTTGACTAATAATACTGAATTGTTGGGATCATATTAGATAATTTTGTGCAAGTGCTTAGACAATTAAAAGGCAATATAGGCATCTGAGCTTCACTGGATTAAAGACAAGTTTTAAAGTGCTGTTCTTACATTTTACTTGTTTTGATTATTGATTAACTGCTATATACTCACCAAATGTTGCTGCCTTCAATGAACCTGAGATCTTAAGAGCACAGGCTTGGCAATCAGGTGACCGAGTGTGAACTCAGCCCACTTTCTAGCTGTGTAACATTCAGTAAGTAGCGTAAGCCTCTTAAATTGACTTTCCGACCTGAGAAAAGCAGCTAATTAAAAAAACAGCATTCATCTCACAGACATCACGAAGGTTAAATGAAACCATCCATGTAGACTGCTAAGCATAATGCCTGGCACAAACTAAGTGGTCAATATATGTTAGTAGCTATTATTGAATTAGTGACAATCCAAGATCGAATCTGATACAAATGAGGAAGTGAGACTTAGAAAGGTCAAAGAGTCTTACCGATATTAAGGAGTAGAGGAAGGAATTTTATTCCAGGTCTGTCTGACTTCAAAACTCATATTCAACCCTAATGCTTTTAAAGCACTCTTAAAGCAGGCTCAGTCATTATTTTCTAATATACAGTTATTGAGTATTCACAGGCTGATCGAAGTGCCAATTGTTGAGGATATAATCGCAAGAAGGTAGAGGGTATCCCTGCCCTCAGGGAGCTTACCTATCTGGGAGAAATAGATAAAGGGCAAGACAAGAAAGCATGCCATGTTCTCCGATAAGGAAAATACACCAGCCTAAAGGTGCACCATGCAGGAAGAACAGGGAAGTGAATAAACATGAACTTTTTAGAAGAATCCAGGTACTAAAACAGCTTATGACCTTTTCTTAAAACTAAAATTTCTAGGGATTTCCAGCAACCCAGGACATTTGTATATCAAAGAATCAAACTACAGAACTGTAAATGGACCAAAAAGAAGAAAATGCTTATGGCCTGACCTCAGTAGAACACGTACCTGCACATGTGAGTTAACGACAAGGGTTTGGGAAAGAGACCTCTGTCCAAACAAACCTCCTTCTCCGCCAAGTGCCAACACCCATCCTTCCTTCAGCAGTTAAAGAGGAGACAGTAAACACAATTGGCTTTCTCAGAATGGAGGGTATGCAGACCCGGTGCAGGGTAAGGCATAAAAGACTAACAGAAGACCGTCCTGGGGGTGAGTTTTGAGGAAGACAGAATAAACTAGAAGTGAAGCGGAGTGTGGAGAACCAGTCTGGGAAGCAGAGACTAGAAAGGAGGCAAACTGCCCAGGAATCTAATAATGGGGCCTACACACCCATGCTAGCCAGAGCCACATACTCCAATTCACCTAGAATTGGCACAACAGCACCAATTCTGAGAGGAGGAAGGGGAAGGATGGCAGAAGAGAAGAAAGAAAGCAGCAGCTGAAAATTTCAAGAACTCTCCAAACTGTTCCTCCCTTGGTGAAGGTTGATGGTGTCGTCCAATCACTGCAGCAAACTGACACAGGGGCCTGCAGACGGTTGTGTGTGGCTTTTGGAGTTAGAGACAGGCCGTTTTCTTGTTAATCGGCAGGCAGGCGTGACAGTGTTCGGCAGAGGACAATCTGTTCGAGAATAATTAGATTCCCCCTCGCTTCTTGCGTTGGTGGCGGAAGCACCCGGAGTATTTACAATACACCATTTTGCTTCCATCCGAGTCCATATGTTCGCTGGTCAGGTTAAAACTGAGGCTGCATGGCACATTTTTCACTGTAAACAACGCTGCCCCGGCAAACCCTAGGGGAAGGGAGGCGATCTTGCCCTCTTAATTTCCCAGTCCAAGGAAAGGCTCGCCTTCAGGAACGGCAGCAGCTTCGATATTTATTGCTGGAGAAAGGCCACACCTCCGGGGAGTCATGTCAGGAGCCATAGGTCCAGCCAGGGGAGCAGCCCTCATTTGATGTGAGACAAAGAAGCTAGAAAACAGCCCCCATGAAGAGTATGCCTTTATAACATGTTGAAAGTCACGTGAATCAGGACGTGCTCGGTGGTTGTAATTCCATCTATTGATGGCAGCTGCTGCTGCAACAGGGAGGCCGGCTAGGGCTGCACACTCCATGGAGGCGGTGGGAGCCTCACCCATTCTGGGTTGGGGCAGGGGCTCCGTGGGTGCCACTGCAGCCACCCAAATCGTGGCTGCAGACCAGGCTTCCTGCTCTATGGAGCAGGCAGGCGCCCCGCCTTCCTGGGTGGGGCTACAGCTGCCCAAACTGATGCTGGAGATCGGAGCTTCCCTGTGCTCTTGGTGGGGGCCGGGAGCAGACAGGATCTGCCCTCCAGGGTAGAGCTGCAGCCTCCCTGCTGCGGCTGCAGACCTGGGCTTCGCGCTCAATCGAGCAGGCAGGAGCCAGGGACAAGAGGGAGCCCCACCTTTACTGAGTTGGTGGAGCGTGAACTCCGCAGGTGCAGACCTGGCATCTCTGCAGCCTGCACCCTGGAGGGCCCGGGAAGACCCGCCCCCCACTTCATCCCTGCAGGCTCGGGGGTGTCTGCTCCCGCTTCCCAGCCCCTCTCCTCTCCAGATGCCTGCTCTGATCTCCGACCGGGGTTGGGGCCGAGCCCGGGGCAGCAGGAGGCAGAGAGATTCCTGGGTGGAAGGCGGCAGTCCCCGTAAGGCCCCTCCTTCAGACCAGGGAGGGCCTGAAGGCTGGGGGCCAGGATGCCAGTCCGGGACCGGAGTGGGGACTTGTGGTGCCTCGTCTGGGTGCACATGGAGGACCATGGGCCAATCGGCAGGAACTTCCTCCCCTCTGAGGTCCATAAAAGCCTCAGGCTCAGCCAGAGCAGGGCACGTGGAGACAATGGGCGAACCAGCTACAGAGAGGAGCTGCCCTCTGCTGAGAGCTTCAGAGACCTGCAGAGATGTCTGAACGGCCTGCTTGTGAAGAGGAGCCACCATCTCCAGGGCCTCCTCTCTGCTGAGAGCTCAACACTCCACTAGATGACCTGCCTACAGAGAGGAACTACCCACAGTGGGCTTCCTCTGAGCTGTTCTGACACTCAATAAAGCTCCTCTTCATCTTCTTCACCTTCCACTTCTCTGAGTACCTCATTCTTCCTGGACACAGGACAAAAACGGGCAAAGGTGCCACCAGCCACAGAGGTTTCCGGCCAGAAAAGCGACACCCCGAAGATCACATAACACTATGATTTGGAGGCAAAGAATGGAGGAAAATGGAGGGAGGAAGAAAAGATGGAGAAAAATCTCTTAGGCATACATGCCTGCTGTTCAACAAACACTGTGCTAGGCAAGGTATACAGGCCATCTCCAAGAAAAGATGACTAAGTGACTTCTGGAACGAAAAGCACAACTGCCATCCTAACCCCCTCCCCAACATTTTCCAGGGATCAGCCCTTTACTTGTTAATAAGCAAGAAGACAATGCATCTGTTGCAACTGTGCCATCAGAGGACACCAGGGCAGAGTTACTGCAGCACTTAATTAGCTTAGTGCACTTGAAGGCTCAGCCTGGAGTTCTCAGGTGAGTGGCAGGAAAACCCTACAACTCAGGGTGGGTCCCAGGACAAATGCAGCTGATGTCAGAAAACTATGTTTGGCAATGCAGTTAGAGACAAGGAGTAGACGCCTCATTTGAGAATCATTTCTCGAAAGAAAATTCTAGAAATGTGACAGTAGCTGGAGGAGGATGTGGGGTCAGTAGAGATGAAAAATATGCAAGGCCTGATTTTTAAAATACCTCTTTTTGCATTTCAATTAAATGATTAAAAATTAGCACTAAAAAGAACCATGGAGATCTATATCAAAACCCTTCTTTTCTCTACGAAGAAACTGAGATGCAGAAATGTTGAGTGACTGCTTGTCTGAGACACCTAGCTAATGAAGAGCAGGGCTCGACTTAGAATTTAGGATTCCTGTCCCCATCACTGGGCCTCTACTCCATCTACCACAATGCCATGCCATGTTTCTCACTCTGCTGTGACTGATCCTCAATTTTAGTTTTAGTTTTGTCTTTATTAATATGTTTCAAAATACCCTAAAGAGAAAGGTATCAGATTAACTAGCAGAAGTGATAATTTTTTTTCCTTTCAAAAGGAAAATTTTAACTACCTTCACCAACAAAGGGATTAAGTCTGCTCTATGATGGAACTGCATTAAAAATAATGAGGCAGATAAAAAAAAGCTTTTATTATTTTAATGAATTCAAAAGCCGGAAGCATTATTGAGATGAGCAGTGTGTTACTGCCCTAATCCAATGTTACCATGTTTTAAAAATTATTCTGGGTAGGAACTTTTCTGCTACATCAGACAAAACCCCAAAATATGCCAAGTAGACAGAATATTAAATTAACATCAAATCCTCATCCCTTTCAAAATAGAGATCACGATTCTAAGGAGCATCCTTGAAAGCACCACCTATAAGACACAAAACTTGCTCATATGCAAAGATCACCCCTCTGTCTACAATGTAACCCAAAGATTCCTCTGTCTGCCATTTAACCCATGTCCTAAGAAATTTATGATTCTACACATTCTTTATCTGAAACAACCATTAACTTCTATATGTACAAGCAAGTTAATTTAATCTCTCTGTTCTTTTGCATCCGCAGCTATAGAGAAAGAAATTCTGTTTTTTTAACTTACCTTACAGGGATTGATTCTATAGAAGAAAACATCACAGTAACATTTGGCATAAACACAAATTTGCCACTTTAATGTGATACTCTCTTAAGTCTCAGAAGAAAATAACAGAATCTTCTTTCCCAATTTCAATGTTCACAGAAATGTTACTCAAAGAAAGTATACTATAAACTATAATATTCCATTCTTGTGTACTATAGACTATAATATTCCATTCTCTTTCAAAACAGATCACATTTCTTGGCCATTAAGTTGACACCATTCTGCCACATTCTTGACACATCAAGTTTAGAAATTAGTACTCGGGTAACTGTGGGAACAAAAATGACTCTGGTAAAGTGAAGTTAATTACATTTAACTTATTCTGAAGGGTTGTATTTTCTACCACAGCTCACTTATACAGACCACTCCCATTCTGTAATCAGGCCTAGTATTACAAAGGTATGCTGAAGCATTTTTTACATCTGTTGGTTAAAATGACTTATTACTATACTGCTAATTCTGTACATACTGTACTAATGTTTCTGTCTGCATAAAGCACAAGAATAGCCTATATGGAAAAACTGGGACCCAAACCAAGGATTTCTCCTCTGCAGCTATGGAGGGGATGAAGCGAGTCTATTTGTCTAAGAAGGGAAATGTCTGGCCCAGCCGTGGAAGTCCAGGGGTTGGGGGGACATGGAAAAAGGCCACAGGGAAGGAGACAAAACCAGAAAACCCTGTCCACATTACCACAGTGACATCCCAATGGCTTACTCACTTCCCCTCCAGAGCCCTGCCAAAGAGCCAAGAAGTCTTAAACATCATGCCCCAGCTTACCATCCTAAAAGAGATGGAGGAAGGCTTGTTCAGATGGCTGGCTCCAGGTTGAAATGATACTCTAGAGAAGTTATTACTCATAAAATATTCCTTGGCTGGGCGCAGTGGCTCACGCCTGTAATCCCAGCACTTTGGGAGGTCGAGGCGGGTGGATCACGAGGTCAGGAGTTCAAGACCAGCCTGGCCAAGATGGTGAAACCCTGTCTCTACTAAAAATCCAAAAATTAGCCAGGCGCGGTGGCGGGCACCTGTAATCCCAGCTACTCAGAAGGCTGAGTCAGGAGAATTGCTTGAATTCAGGGGACAGAGGTTGCAGTGAGCCAAGACCGTGCCACTGCACTCCAGCCTGGGTAACAGAGTAAGACTCTGTCTCAAAAAAAAAAAAAAAAATTCCTTGAGGGGAAAAAATAGCCCCACAGCCCCCTACTTTCAATATCATTTTGTCCTTCTACAAGCAGGATAGATGGACTTCCTGTTAGATAATGAATCTAACTCCCTTTTTTTTTGATATGGTACAAAAAGTATGGGGTTCATGGCCAAGGTGTTTAAAATCCTGGCTCTGCTACTTAGTGCAATGAACCAAGTAACTTTAATTTCTTTGACCTTCAGTTTTCCCATCTGTGAAATGAGGATAACAAACCTATGTTGAAAGACTACTGGAACAAAGAAAAAATAAAAAACTCTTTGAAAAGGACCTAGCCTATAGTGTCACATTCAGCATCTACTCAATAAATATTTGTCGATCCTTCCTCCACAGTCCTCACTCCACCAGCAGACAGATTCAAACATCACTTGATTAGATGAGCAAATAATTTTCTTTAACTACCCAAGTATCTTTAAGGCCCGTTTCAACCCCAGAAGTAGATTCAATACCATACAGAGGTATTTTCAGAGCCTAGCTGTGCATTCCCAAGGATTCAGGCGTATGTAGGCCTGTCTGGCATTCTACTAGGCCTGCTTTCCAGTGACCTTCCTGTGGCAGGAGCCGAGATCTTCTGGAGAAAGTAATGGGAAGAAGCAAATGCTTACAGACTTGGTCAAAAGAAAATGGAGAAATAGAAGAAGGAAATTTCAAGTGGACAACTCCAACCCCTGAGTCAGAGGTCAGCACTGTGGGATGTGGGGGCCAAAACAACAATAAATGAAAAACTACTTCACTGAGAACGCTGTTTCTGGGAGCTCAAGGAGGAACTACTTCCTCTGGAGTCTGTGAAACAAAACAAGCTCCCTGGAAGTGAAGGGTTCAGCCCAGTGGCTGCTGGAGCAGAAAACAAACATGAAAGTGCCTGGGTGACAAAATAAGAGAGGCTCCCGGCAGGCAGCCCACATCCAGAGGAGAGAAAAGGCAGCCTGGGACACCTGGCGTCTGGAGAGCAGGGATGACGATGTAGAGAAGTGGAGGGAAGAGAGTGTTTGTTAACACATCCTGGGGACAAGGGTGTAGTCCACAGATCAGCCACAAGGACACTCAGAACTGACTTGGAGGAGCTTGTCATTGGCTATGTGAAGACCGAGCATGGAAGTACCATGTTGTTGCTATTTTCATCCTGAGCAATTATAAGTTGGTAAAGCAAGAGTTATGTGCCTTGAAACTAATGCCACCTCAGTCTAGCTGCTCACTCAGAGCAAGTGCAGAGGAAGGCAAGGGAACCAATATTCTCCATACACTTGCTATGTTTTACGCACTGAGTGAAGATTTTTCTCATTTAATTGCATGTAATTTCATTCTAAAGAGCAGACAAACAATTTCATTCGATTAGATATACTTCCTCAATAAAGGCTTTTGAATGAAAGCAAATTTCATTTTGCTGATCAGGCTACACTACGTGAGTGTGTCCTTATAGAAATAAATTAACCTGGAATTAACATTACGTATTTTTGTTGTTGTTTTCAAAGACAGAGTCTCATCCTGTCACCCAGATTTAACCTTTCTCAGCCACATCTGCAAAATGGGGATGGTAAAAATAGGTAATGATAGGAGCTATTTCACACTGTTTTGAGGACTGTGTTACTACACAGTAAGGTGCCTGGCACAAAGTAAGCACTCAATAAATGTTAGCAATTTTTATGTTTTATAACACTAGGCTGCTAAGCTTTGATGGAGGAAATCATGCAACAAATTCTGGGGAGTGTTTCCTCAACATATCTGATGTCCAATTTTCTCTTGTAGCTGCATGGGGCCCAGAACCGTATCACATGGTGCAGAAGTTCTCTCAAATTTCCAACTGTCTACTCAAGCACCAAGCCTCTGCGTGTGTGCGTCTCCCTCAGATGATCTTGCTTCCAAATTCACAAAGAAAACAGAAGCCACAGCCCTGCTACCAACTTCCTACCCAACCCCCATAAACAGCATTATCCTTCTCCTTTAAACTCTCCCCACTTTTGAGAGGAACAGTCCTCCTACACAGACCATCCATTCTCCTGTGTTCCACATCCTCTCTGTCTCCTACAGTCATAACCTGGACTTCCTTATCTTCAGTCTCATTTACTTCCCACTCATCACTTCCCCTCAGCCTAAAACCCTGCTGGAGATAGGGAAGGAGGGAGGGAGGGAGGGAGAGGGGGAGGGAGGGAGGGAAATATATTTTATTTATATTTTGATTGGCCGATTGCTTTTCAGGGTTTCACTCTGTCACCCAGGCTGGAGTGCAGTGGTATGATCATAGCTCACTACAGCCTTGAACTCCTGGGTTCAACAAATCCTCTTGCCTTAGCCTCCCCAGAAGCTGCGCCACCATGCCTGGCTAATTACTTTTTTGTTTTGTTTTGTTTGTTTTTTAATACAGACAGGGTATCAATATGTTTCCCAAGCTGGTCTCAAACTCCTAGCCTCAAGCAATCCTCCTGCCTTGGCCTCCCAAAGCCTGGGATTACAAGTGTGAGCCACCACTCCTGGCCTAAGTCTTCTATTTTAAACAATCCCACCTTTAACCTCATTCACCTCTAGCTACAACACTTTATTTATCCCTTAATAGCCAGGTTGCTAGAAAAAAAACCCTTTATACTTGCTATCATCTCCATTTCCCCAAATTTCCAACCTCTCATAATATGTACTGTGACATCATTAGGCACTAAATCTACCCTTGCTTTGGGTGGGTTCTAATGACCTCTTAAATGCAAAGTGCAGAAGACTTTAATCCTTTCTGCTTACTGCCCCATACATGAGTCACTCCCTCTTCTACATTACTGTGGCCTCATTACACTGCAAGTTTACTAAAGGCAATCCATCAATCAATCTGGCATAGCTTTGGCTATATCCACTCATGTGGTATTGCACGCAGCCTACATTCACTGAACGAATCAATGGAAATAATAAGGGCCTTAAAGGCTCCGATGGCTTCATTGTGCCATCCGCTCTGCTTCTATCGCTACTAACTATGGAAAAAGTTAACATTTCTCTTACTAAGTGAATGATACCTTTGGCAAAGTAAGATATAAAAGGTGTAATGTTCTAGCTGATCCTGCTCCATACAGCTCCAGGTAAGTAATCTGCCCCAGTGAGAGATCTGTTTATACCGGCAAAGTGCTTCAGGGCTTAAGTCTTCAGAATTTGACCCCCGCTCACGGCACAGAAGGATGCCCAGGACACACTATAAAGCTATTAGAAATTGAAACCAATAGCCCTCCTAGTTTCTTTTAATAGACTTTCAGATGCAGTGTTTTCTGCTTTCCTTTAAAAACAGTAGAATAGTAATTAACATTTAGTAATTTTCAAAGCAGTTGTGCAGGAAGATTTCCTGAACTATGAAAGCCCACAAATTTGGCAACAAGAAGTATCACAACAGAGAAACAGCTCTTGGTTTATTGTTCATTGTTCCCCACACTTAGTTAATGTGTTACAATGACAATGTATGAAATACATGAAGTTACCATCAAAACAAACAATGTTTTTTTTTTGTTTTGTTTTTTGTTTTTTGTTTTTTTTTTGAGATGGAGTCTCACTCTGTCGCCCAGGCTGGAGTGCACTGGTGCAATTTTGGCTCACTCTAAGCTCCGCCTCCCGGGTTCATGTGATTCTCCTGCCTCAGCTTCATAAGAAGCTGGGACTACAGGCGCCTACCACCACGCCTGGCTAATTTTTTGTATTTTTAGTAGAGACAGGGTTTCACCGTGTTAGCCAGGATGGTCTCGAGCTCCTGACCTTGTGATCTGCCCGCCTCGGCCTCCCAAAGTGCTGGGATTACAGGCATGAGCCACCGTGCCTGGCCCAAAACAAACAGTATATTAAACAAGAAAAATGAATTTATGAATTAGCTTTCTTCCCTCCCAAACTCCCTTACTCTACACAAGTCATTCCTGATGGAGAGATTGAAATAAAATGAGAAATTTAATAATGAATAATAGTAATACTATTACTAATAATTCCAGCAATTATACTGGTATTACTTTAAAAAGAAAAAAATATTGCTTAATCTTTAGCTTTTGCTCCACAGCAAATTCCAATTCTTTCAGGACACAGCCAAGAGAAAGCAGATAATGTTCGTCCCTTATTTCCATACGTTTCTTGTTTCAAAATGGCAACCCAAAAGGAATACTCCACTGATTGTTTGTAGATATGCTGATTAAAGAAAAATATAAAATTTCAAGCCCATCAACCAGTGCTGCTCTATAATAATCAAAAACTACCTTTACAATAAAAGGTTATCAAACCAAACAGTCTGATCATCACATAATTTCTCATGAAAGCTGAAAAGGAAATACAATCATTCACTTATTGGTTCATCTTTCACCAAACACTTATTGTACTAAATGCTGGCAATACAGAAGTGAAGATCTGCTTCATGCCCTAAAGATGCTCATAGTTAGCACCAAGAACTACACATCTCGCCAGGTACAGGGGCTCGTGCCTGTAATCCCGGCACTTTGGGAGGCCGAGGCAGGTGGATCACTTGAGGTCAGGAGTTCGAGACCAGCCTGGCCAATATGGGAAAATCCCATCTCTACTAAAAATAAAAAATAAAAAAAAATAGCCTAGTGTGGTGGCACGCACCTGTAGTCCTGGCTACTCAGAGGCTGAGGCAGGAGAATCGCTTGAATCTCAGAGGCTGAGGTTGCAATGAGCCAAGATTGTGCCACTGTACTCCAGCCTGGGTGACAGAGCGAGACTATGTCTTCAAAAAAAAAAAAATATATCGACCTCTAAGAATCACATTTATCTTGAGCTACAGAGTTCGAAGGACAGAATTTTTTTTTTTCAATTAATGTTAAGGTCTGGAAGTTTGACTTTGGCTCTTAACCTTTGGCTCACATACCTAATTTGGTTACTATGTGTTTACTACATGCAAAAAGACTTCCTTGGGCCTATGAATCATTTCTAGTAAATGGAGCTAATAATAACTTTCCATCAGAAAGCTCTTTGTCCCATTTTTGTATCAGAAATGGGCAAGAAAAAAGTGAAACAAAATAAAACAACAACGTGAAGATTTTTTTAAATCCTGCCCCTGGGATGTTGATGAGGGCAGAGACAAGCAATTTACCTGCACACAAAATTAAGTTTTTTAAATAATTTAGATTCTAAAGAAAGGAACTTTTAGAATGACATCTGCTAATACTCTAAAGCTTATAACTCTGAGTTATTGGGAAGGTAAGAACATATTTTCCCCATAAAAATAAGTTCTATATCATGGTTATGATCCAAGGTGAACTCACAGAAACCTACTTTCTTTGGTTCCTTCAATAAACATTAAAAGCCTGTTATTTGTGAGGCACTATGCCAACCATTAGGGATATAAAACCAAATAGGACTCAGTCTCTGCCCACAGGAGCTTAAGAGTCTAGTGGAGGAAACTAAATTAACATTTGCAAGAAATGCTGTGTTTCCTAAAATATCTACAAGGTGTTTTGGGGAGCAAAGAAAACGGGCACCTTAATCAGACTACGAAAGGGAGAGTCACAGAATGCTTTCCCTTAAGAGGTCATATTTGAGCTGAATTTGAAGGCTGATGAGGAATTACCTACACTAAAAAGGAAATCACAGGTAAAAAGGTCGAACAAACCGTATTTAGTGATTTGCTGAATCATGGAGGTGGGTGACACAAAGGACCCTAGAATGACTCAGGTGTCTGGTTTGGATAAACAATCCAACGTAGGCACCATTCACAAAGAAAGGGATGCTAGGAGGTACGAGGGCAAAGATGAAAAGGTCATACGCAGACCGCAAAGCTTAAACCTTCGCCTCACATCTGTTTGGAACAGCAGTAGCTTTTTACTTAGCGCTTACATCACCAAAGCCAATGAGTAGCGAAGTCTGGGACGAGGACAAGAGCTGCCCTTGGCATCACTGCCTGTCACCTGTCCCTTCGGGGCGCCCCCTGCCTCCACTGCTTGGCCTCTGTTTGTAGCTTGTGTTTTGGCCTTGCCAGCAAGTGTCCTTCAGGGAGGTCTGGCTACTCACAGTTTATAGATGAGAACACTGAGGCAGAGCGATAATTAACTCGACAAGAGAAAACAACCAGCAAATGGCCCTCTTGTCCCAGAGCCCACGTTCTTCACCAGAACACTGCCTAGTTTAAGAAACAGCAGCAATTCTGTTTCTTATAAACTCATGAGCTTCCCAAAGACAGGCTCTCATCCGGTCAGGCATCATGGGTGGATCATCAAGCAAACAGATGCCAACAGACATTCCCTCCCAAGTTATTCCTTTTAATCCTGTCCTTTGTCAGATGCAAAAGGCCTAATTCAATACTGGAATTCCTCTATATCCATTATCAGGTCACCTGGATAGCCTGTCCTAAAAGAATGAAGTCCCTCCTTGCCACAACAATAAGCTTTGTCTTTTTTCCCCCCCATAGGTCAGCTTCCTTCTTTTATATTCTGCTACAATCTGTTGTTGTGGTTAATTACACAAGAGACTAGCATGGGTGTGTCAATCCCTAGTGGAACTGCGTTGAGAATCTGCAAACCAGACCATATATTATGGGGCTTCCAAATTTTCAAGTGCCACAGAATCGCAAGCTTCTGATCACTGCATTAAGGATCTAGACCTGTGGTTCAGATGAGAGATGAGCTTCATAAAGAAGTATGTTGCCAGTGAGACCCCACTAGGTTGAAGATTGCAGGAAGCTGAGATGCTTAAATTATTCTAATTAATGGGCTTATTCCCCACTGGTTATGCACAGCAGATTGAATGGACAGTTGCAGGTGCAAACTGAGAGGTAAACAGACCTTTAAATAAGTAAAGAGCCAGGGAGCACTAGCTGGGGAAGCACAGGTTTCAGAATGAATTATTAAAGCCTGCACTGATCCACAGTCGAGGGTATGACTGATTTCTAAGTGAAGACATCTTATCCTGAATGCTGCTACTTTAAGGTAAAAATAGACTCATTCTTCCCCTGACTCTCTTTCTCCATCATTGGTGCAAAATGAAACAGCTCCGTTGGTTTGTAATTGATGTATCTGACACTAAAATTTCATTCTATGTACTTCCATCCTCTGAAATGCACAGTAAGGGAAGAAGATCATCTTGACAGGTAAAATAGTAGGTTTTGACACAAAGTCATTGAGATATATGTGATGGAGAATTTTCTACTGAGACAAAATGCAGTTCTATTTGAAAGTTTACTACACATTTCAACTTTCACTTTGAAGAAACACTTTCAGATAAATAAATAAATACGCAATGATTAAAAGAGGAAATTGGCTTTGTTTTTTTGAGAACTACCCCGTAGAGTAAAGCATACCTTTTTATATTTACTCTTTTTTATAAAACTATTGATTGAAAAATATGAAAAGGTAGAAGGTGCTTAGAATTCCTAGCACATAATACGTGCTCAATTTATTGATGTGAATTATATTTACACATAAATATACAGACAAACCAGAATATATAAATATAAAGGGATATAATCACTCCAACACCATGAATTCCACCTTAATTTTCCTCTCCTTGACAAACTACTGATTAAATGTAAAAAGTTGCTCTTTAATCTAGATAACACGTTTTGTATGCATTTAAGAAACATTTACTGAGCACCTGCTTTACATCAGCATAGTTCTCAGTACAGATAGAGCAATGAACAAGATACACCAGGTCCTTATTCCAATGGAGCTTAATTCTACCCAGCGTGAGATATGCAGTACCGAGAAGTAAATAAATGAGAAGATATTTTCAGATAATGTTCATGATGTGGCGACAATAAAACAGAATACACCACGAGCGTGTGGAAGAAGAGCTACTTTAGAGGGAATGACCAAGGAAGGCATCTTTGAGGCAGTCACATTCAATGGAGTCCTGAAGAATGAGAGCGCCAACCATTAAAAAAGGTTTTTCTAAAGTGCTGGGGGGAAAGCACGTGTAATAGCCGGAGTTAAATTCACTGCTTTCAACAGAATACCAAATAAAATGATTTACCCACAGAAAGGGTCCCTTTTCTCACTGGATTCCCACAATGCCATTAGGGAGCCAAGCTCCTTATACCTTTTTCTTTGCCCCTCCTGGTGTGTAGCTCACCGGGGGCTGCTCTACTACTGAGCAGTAACTCAGCCTTCCAGTGATGAAGAATGGGGAAGGCTGAAGGGCAGGGTGTGTCTAGCCAGCCTAGTCAGTCCCTTCCTATCCGCAAATAGTACCTTCCCCAGAAGCCCTGCCCATAAGTGTTCACTTACATCTGCTCTAAACTGTCCCACAGATACAGTAAAGCTAAGGAAGTTTCTTGCTTTTAACTGGCATGAATGGGCCTTTTGTAGCCCCGAAAAAAAAAAAAATTGAAACTCTGTTAGCAGGAAGAAAGCAAGAATGGGCACTGGCCTGTGATAAGCCATGTCTGCTGAAGCATCCTAGGCAGGGCCATGGCAAGTGCGAAGTCCCTTGTGGGATAATAGGTCCAGCTTGTAAAACAGAAGACCAGGGTGTAGGAGTGCAGGGAACACGACGGAAGCACAGCCCAGGAAGACTGTGAGTGAAATGGGAGCCACCGGTACTGAGGGCTCGCCAGGTCCTGGAGTGGGGGGAGTACTTTTTTTTTTCTCCACACCACCTCCCAGATGTGGTCTTGCTATGCTGCCCAGGCTGGTCTTCAACTACTAGGCCCAAGAGATCTTCCTGCCTCAGCCTCCTGAGGAGCTGGGATTACAGGAGTGCACCACTTTACCTGGTGATATTACCTTTATTTTACAAATAATGAAGTAAACTCAGTAGGTTAAGTTGACTCAGCTAAATTCACAGATTAGGAATGAGAGGAGACACAATTATAACCCAGCTTGATCTGACTCCTAAATTCATGCCTGTAACCCCTGTACTCTGCTGCTGTCTTCATATCCCTGCTTTAACAATATGCCTCTGAGTATGAGCTGACAGAATCCATTCTTCCAAATCCATTCCGGTTATTACCTACTGTCCTATTCACTCACATTTATAGGAAGTGTTTATTTGTTCTAATATTTTCATTTATTTCAAAGTTCTAGATAGAGAGAACTCTATGTCTTTCTTTGCCTACCTAATATGCATAGAAGAAAAAAATATTAAAACTGAAAATGACTATCTTCATCTGATGCTGAGGTTTGGGGTGAAAATTCATATTAGTGGGAAAGCAGATCTCTATACTGCTCCTTCTCACTCTGAGATACCTGGGGAGGGAGAAAAGACAACACTGAAATGTCAAAGCTCCTGCCAGTTCCTCGGTGCTGAAACATTAATGAGCTTCTGAATGTGCAAAGGTGGGCCCAGAGCCGAAGGATGTTTGAGAGTTAAATTGCTCTGCATAATCAAGGAAAGGTAATTGAGTTTCCCGAGGAATCAGAGAATCAAGAGGTCTAGGAGAAGTGAGAAAGGCAGGGAGCTATGAAGGTGGCTGCTGTCTAACCCCACATGACGTCTCTCATGATTTCCACATTACCAGCAACACTGTTCCCAAATTCCTGACACAGAGCTATAGCAAGCTCTCACATGGGGGACAGCAGTGAGTGAGGATTCTGTGGGTGACTCCTGTGGGTAAGCATTGGGGAAATACTTTCAGATCACATCCAGGATAAACCATTATTTTCAAATCTGGGAAGATTAAATAGAGATGGTGAATGTAAAAGAACCTGTGGGACCTGGCAGAGCAACTCTGATATTCTCCAGAGCAGCAGCAGACAGAAGCTGGGGCTGTTTGCTTACTCCTCTCGCCCTGAACATTACCAACATGCAGGCTGGGACTGTGAGACAACGCCATCAGACAAGCGAGACGATGCCATCAGACAAGACAGGTGTTCCAGCGATTGCTCTAGGTAAGCCTCATTCTCTTTGTTCACTGGCAGCACCACCCCGCTCCACCCTGCGCCTCATTTGCAGAGTCCTCTACAAATGAACATGCAGCCTGCCTGGCACACCTGGCACAGCTCACCTGCATGCCGCCAAGCATGACAGACTGTCTTTGCTGTGGTTGTAAAGGCCTATTTTCCCAAGAGGCTTCTTCTCCGGGGCCCTACAGCTTTCAGCGTGCACTTCAAACTCACTGAGGACTGAGTGACTTACAGTTTTCTCTGTGTGCTAAGCTGTTAGATTGTTTCCATCTTTACACAGGCTGTTCCCTCCATTTCAGGCATCCTCTCTTCCAGGCTGAACCCGTTTTCATCAGATTATCTTTTACCAGTTCTTCAGAAAGCAATTCAGGCCTCGTTTCTCCAGGAAGCCTTCTCTGGCCTCCACCTTTGATTTCGATGGTCTCCTTCATGTTCCCCAGCCCCCGTCTATGCCTCCACCTTGGTATATCATGCTCTATTGTAATTATTAATTTACTTTTCTTTCTCCGCGAATAGATGTACCCACAGAGCCTAGCAGTAAACCTGCAACAAAGTGGTGGTTTGATCATTCTTATCAAATGTATGGCTTAAAAGTATTGTTCTTCTAAAATGTAAAAAGAGAATCAAATACAGGTCTGGCCAATGACAGTATATTTCAAATGACAGGCAGGAACATGTCTTCCCAAGTCCTGATTTTTCTTTGAATGCACAGCTCTGACTTATCTGGCCTCTCTCCAGACCTTCATATGACTCTTCTCTAGTTAAGCCAATAGCAGGCTTCAAGCCAAAAACTCCTAGAAGTAGGAGTTTGCCAGGCAATAGTGCATGTGTGTTGGTTGCAAGAGGGTAAAAAAAATATTACAAAGATAACAGCCTGGGTGCAAGCTTGGAGAGTTTCAGGAACAGAAGAGGACAGCGTGGCAGAGCTGTGGGTTCAGTAAGTGAGGTCAAAGCGTGTGGACGTGTACCTGGCCGGCTAAGCAACAGTAGTTTCTTGGTGAATCTATCAGAGAAGGACTACTATACAACATAAGTCGGTGGGAGCAATGTATCTAAAGTGAGAATGAGTGAAGTAATGCTATCCCGCAATGACCACTAATTGAAATGCCAACAACTCCAAGTTGGCTAAGTGAAAAGAGAGTCTTACCTCAATTACCCTAAAAGAACATTCTAGAACTAGGTTAAGCTAACAGGAATAAGCATATGTGGAGGGTGTTTCTGGGAAAAGAAGTCTGTCAGAGGCAGGCAGAAGTATCAATTGGAATGTGTCTCAGAGACAACCTAAGTTGACACCATATAAATAAATATTTCTGAAGATTGCAGCCAACTGATCTGAACTCTACTGCCACGTAAGGCATATTAATTATTTTTAAACTAATAGAATTGGTGTGCATGTTCTTGAATCATTTAAAATTCTTATCTCCTCAAGAATCTGGAATTTTTGTTTGTGTTACCCCTAAATCCAAATTTCACAATGCTGAGGAGTCCATGGTTTTCAGGCATCATTACAAAATAACCAGCACTTCCTAACAGCTGGTGGCAGCAAAAATCTGAAACTTATATTTCTCAGTTACAATGCCTACTTAAGAATCACCTCAAACCTTTAAGTACAATACAATGTGAGGGTTACTCAGAGGTACAGAGACTAGTGGTATGGTCAGGATTTCAACCGTACCATATAACCTGCATAATGAACAACTCAGACTTACCTCACTTGTTACTAAATATTTGCTTTATGTAAGGGAAAATTATCTTCAGCCAAAATGGTAGAGCACAACCAACTTAATATATATCCTAAGTGGCTTAGAGGCTAAGTACATAATCCCTTCAGCAGTAGCCTCAACTACATTTCTCTTATTGTAGCTAGCTCTTGCACATTTAACCACCTTCATCTGTATTGTTAACTTGAAATTTTAAATGTGCATATTCCCAGAACGCATCAACTAATTTTTATCATTCTTTCATTTGAAAATATCCTTGGAACATTAATGGTTGAAGAGATAAAGGATACCATGTTCCTAAGAGAATTTATTGTGACTCTTACACTCAGTGACTGGTTGTAACTGGGAAACTCAAAACCACAACTATATATGACTATAAAATGACAATGAAAATAGTTTATTCTATACTTGTAGGCTGTTTGACATTTTCCAGCTTGCCTTGATTTTATAAAAAGAAATGACCTTGAAAATAATTAAGCATATCAAAGGGTAAGGCTGTAGCTCACTGAAACACAGCAATATGTTCACGTCTTTATAACACTGCTAAGCATTCATGAAATAGCAAGAGATTGTATTGCTCTTTAACCAAGTTCTACTTTAATTTTATAGGCTTATACATATTCACTACGAGGCCATTCTAATCTTCACCTACCTGCATTCTTCTGAACTTGCAAATAAAGGCAATCAGGACTCTACCTGCTAGACTTGGAACAGATCAGATTTTGCAAGAGGCATCAGGGTCTGGTTGATTCTTTTTTTTTCCAGCCTGTGTTTAATGAGAGTGCTCTCAATAAAAACACAAATTCAGATTAGGTTTCTGTACTCAATGTTTATTAATTTAGATACTCTTTAAAAGAGCATGTAAGCATCTTGAGAAATAAATTTAGCTACTGTCACTTTATAAAAGGAACAAGTGCAATTAAAAAAGAAACAGGAAATCGGCAATGATATGGAAGGAAAGTGCTTCTGAGACCTGGATGCTATCAGCCCCACTGCATACAACTGAGTGTGCTCCCTGCAGTGTTGCAAAGGGCTCAGAGAAATCACAACTGGCCAAATGTTAGAACCTTCCGCAGAGAAATAATGACAGAGGAAAGTCAGAATCTCCAAGAATGGAAGACCTAATGCTCGGAGATCTGCAGACATCTTAATAAAAGGAATATTCAGGAGGGAAGGTGCCATTTTGACTTAGTTCAAGTTCTCTGCTGGGTTTCCTCCTCTACCCCCACCCTAGCAAGAGTCAACTCAGACCACAAAATTTAAATTAAAACACAAAATGTTTAGCTGGTTTCTCCCAACTTGAAAAGGGGTTGACCTGGGATCCCAGGTGAGAGAAAACGAGCTATATAAAAATAAGGCTTCTTGGGAGGCCAAGGCAGGCAGATTGCCTGAGGTCAGGAGTTCCAGACCAGACTGGCCAATATGGTGAAACCCTGTCTCTACTAAAAATACAAAAAAATTAGCTGGGCGTGGTGGCGGGTGCCTGTCCCAGCTACTCAGGAGGCTGAGGCAGGAGAATCACTTGAACCCGGGAGGCGGAGGTTGCAGTGAGCTGCGATCATGCCACTGCACTCCAGCCTGGGCGACAGAGCGAGACTCCGTCTCAAGAAATAAATAAATAAATAGATAAATAAATAAATAAATAAGACTTCTCTCATGAGGTGATGGAATGCCTTAGAGATCTGCTATTTCCAAACCACCAGGACCAGCCCCAGTGAGCCAAATCCTTAATGCTTACATCTTTCCTCTTCCTACAACACATGGACGGGGGCATGTGAGTAACCAAGGAAGCCAGGCCCAAAGAGAAACTTCCTGGTGCCAGGATCATTTTGGGTGAGCCACTTGTTTTTTGCTCATACTGGATACGTGTGCCACGTGCCAGGCACACAGTCCTGAACAAGACTGATAACGTCTCTGCTCTCATGGAGTTTATGTTCTTGTGATGGGTGACAAATGGTAATAATGAAAGATTTTGGGAAGAGTATCAATCATGGAAAACATCTATTTATCAGTCCGTTCATTTACTTAACATAGGCTACTGTTGTGCAACAGGTCCCATGTTGGCTGCTGGAAGTATACAAAGGTAACTAAAACACAAGCTAACTTTGGGAGTCAGCCACACAGAGACGGTGAATGAAGCTACAGGAATCAGTAAGGTAACCCACAGACAGTGTGCAGAGAACAAACAAGGTGGCGAAAGAACCCCACCGACTGGGAAGACAGTAGTGCAGGAAGAAAACTAGGAGAGTATGGTGTCACCGAAGCCCAGGGAAAAGCGTTCCCGAAAGGGAGCGGTCCACAGGACACATGAAGTTAGAGTATCCGGAGGATTGAGCAACATGGAGATTGCTGCTCATCGCAACTACAGCAGTTTCAATTGAGTTAAGGACCTGAACGCCAGACTACAGCGGAGGTGACAAGAAGTAAGAAAGTGAAGACTAAAAATGTAAATAATTTCAGTTGTAATTGTGAAAGGAGAGATGATTCAAAGATAAGTAGAGGAAGAGGTGGAGCAAAGGCATTACTTCTTTTTTTCCCCTCCCTCGCTTTCTTCCTTCCTAAGAGGAAGACAGGCACATTTAAAGGCTAAAAAAGGTGAAAATAATTGAGACTAGATAACTAGTAGAGTGAGGTCCATCAAATAATAAAAGAGTGAGCTCTAGAAAACAGGAAAAGACATCCTTGCCTTTGGGGATTTCGGGACAGAAAGAGGGAGGTTTGCTGATGCTTTCAGGGGTGAGGAGAGGTGAAGGGTTAAAAGTCGTCGAAACAATCTTCCACCTTATAGCCTCAGGCCAGGAAAACTCCCAGGCAAGATTGTGTGCAGCTGAAGAGGCCACCATGTACCAGTCACAGGTTTTTAAGGTGAGCTTAGATGCAAATGGTAAAAGTGAATAAAGGTCGGGGAGTGGAGAAGGTGGCTTGTCTGATTATTAAAGTTACTTACAGATATATATATCTGTTATATAGATATATGAAATTTTTACAATGAGACAATAAAGTAATATTTGGGTAAGAAAAATTCACACATTTTTAAGTAAAAATGTCCACTTCCCACTCTACATTAGGGTGAGAGGAGGCCCTGGCAATGCAGACAATGCTGAATCAATAATTTCAGTAACCTAAGAGGGCTGTCTAGAAGTAAATGGATCTACATGTGCACATCTGAATGGGAGAGATCAGGAATGTAGGTCAACAAGGGTCATCCTCGGTGACCCACACCCCCATTACCTACACCAGACAAACTGCTTTGCTGCACTGTGGACTAGGTTCCCCTCCCTTTTTTAAAAAAAAAAGAAGAAGAAAAGCACTATCTGTTTTCTTGCAACTCCTCAAGGATTTAGTGCAGTGTATGTGTCATGCTTCTGGGCAACTTGGAAAATAACCTGAGAACATCAAAGGTCTATACTGAACGTGAAAAACCCTCTGGGCACAGGCTGCACCAGGCCACACACTGCCACGTTCCCTTCACAGTCCTAAAGAAAAAAAGGTACATGTTTGTATAGGGTTCTTTCAGATTCTCTCACCGGAATCATTTGCTCCAGCATGCATGACTGAAACCTACCCTGATTAGGAGGAGGATAAGATCATGCTGCCTGAGCACACATGTAAGTCTGGTAACACCCTACTCACTGTGTGAAAAAGCATTTTAGCTGTTGGCGTCACCAAAATGTAAGCCCTTTATTTGCTGAGTGTCTGCTAAATCAACATACAGCCTTCATATTTTGTCTGTTCCCCTGTTAATTCTTAAAGGCTGTTGGTTCCTGGAGTCTCGGCTGGAGTCTGGGAACCACGTCAGTCATTGTGCTTGTCCACACATGTAAAGTGCTCAAGATAATGTTTGCCTATCACAGTGTTTGTTTAACTTGCTATTGGCCCAATAACATGCAAATATGTGCTCCATAAAAGCTGCAACTGACTGTAATACCTGAGAGCTAGGGGCCGCGGGATAACTTAGTCATTATTGTTTTTTCTTGAGGTGAAACATAAAATTAACTATTTTAAGAACAATTCAGTAACATTGAGTGCATTCACAATGATAAACGACCACCAACCTATCCAGCTCCAAAACATTTGTATCACTACAGAGGAAAACTCGATACCCACTGAAGGCAGCTGCTCTCGGGTGCCCCTTCCCACAAGCCCTAGCGACCATCAATCTGCACTCCGTCTCTATGGATTCATCTACTTTGAACATTTCATACAAACGGAATCACAGAGCATGTGGCGTCTTGTGTCTGGCTCCCTTCATTAAGCATAATGTATTCCGGGTTCACCCGTGCTGGAGCATGTATGGGTACTTCATTCATTTGATGGCTGAATGATACTCGATTGTATGGATAGATCACAATTGGTGTATTCATTCAACTAACAACGAGCATTTTGGCTGTTGCTACCTTTTCACTATTGTAAATACTAATACTATTTATAATATATGTATGTGAAATTAAGTATCAGTTTTCCATTCTTTTGTGTGTGTATATGGCAGTGGAATTCCTGGGTCATACATCAACTTTTTAAGGAAGTGGATTCCACAGTGGCTACCACACTGTACATTCCTATCAGCAATGTACAGGGTTCCAGTTTCTTCACATCCTTACTATTTTCCATTTTACTGATCACGGCCATCCTACTACATTTCATTCTATTACATTTAATAGTAAATGTGAAGTGGCACCTCATTACGGTTTTTTTTTCTTTTTTTTTTTTTTTGAAGACGGAGTCTCGCTCTGTGGCCCAGGCTGGAGTGCAGTGGCATGATCTCAGCTCACGGCAACCTCTGCCTCCCGGGTTCAAGCGATTCTCCTGCCTCGACCTCCCGAGTAGCTGGGATTATAGGCACACCCCACCAGGCCTGGCTAATTTTTGTATTTTTAGGAGAGACAGGGTTTCTCCACGTTGGCCAGGCTGGTCTCAAACTCCTGACCTCAGGTGATCTTCCCACCTTGGCCTCCCAAAGTGCTGGGATTACAGGCGTGAGCCACCACGCCCAGCCTCATTGTGGTTTTGATTTGCATTTCCTTAATAACTGATGATGAGGAGCATCTTTTCACGTGCTTGTCGGCCATTTGTATATCTTCTTTGGAGAAAGGTCTATTCAACTCCTTTGCTCTTTTATATTTAGGGTTATCTGTCCTTTGGTCATTTTTAAGCAAGGTACTCCAATATTCTTCTCTATGCATACTCCTTTAAACAGACAAAACGCAAAACAGTGCGGTGGTTAGGAAGCTGTGCTATGAAACCAGACTGCTTGGGTCTGTCCTGCAACTTAGTCACTATGAGACCTTGACAAAATTATCTCTCTGAGCCAAAATATCTTAAGAGTAAACCTCGTGGATATGTAGTAAATATTAAATAATCAATGTAATATACATATCATGGCATGTGACACATAGAAAAGCTATAAAATGTTTCAAAAGCCAATAAAAGTATGCACAGGTAGCACGTTCATGTAATTACTTGTGTACTTCCATAAGGATGGGAAAAATGCACGAACCTCTCCCAGATTCAGCCATGTAAGGGTAGAAGGAACTTCAGGGAGGAAGTCACAGGTTTTTTGCCTCCATGTTAAGACAAAAATGGCCCCATAATGAAAAGCACTGTGCAAAATATTAATTTTTAAATATCTTTTTAACAACATAGGAAAGGCATTCTTCTACTTTTGCAAAGGAGGCAGAACCAAAATCTGTGAAGAACCTTTGGCTATACAGACACTCCACAGGGACCAAATCTCCTGCCCCATCACACATTCCTGGGAATTAAAAAGAATGGAGAACGTTTACAAGCTGCTGTACTTTATAATTGTTATTTCTTTGAAATGATTCTTTTTCTTTGTGAGAGGAAAATAAACCACAGTATATTGCTGAGAAGTATTAAGACTCATTCCTTTCTGCCCACACACAAAAATTCGTTGCACCCGGAGGAATCATGTCAAGCAGTCCACCTGCTTGGGTCTAAAAGTCATGTATATTGTTCTGACAAGTCTACCTTGCTGCCAATATGCTTTTGCCGTCTTTAGAAAGGAGTGTTTAGTAAAACAAATGATGCCTATACAGTGTCCATGTACAAAGGCCCCTGTGTTCCAGTTCTATCCCATACTTGAAAAACAAAGGCTCTTTCAGGGTAGGGGGTTCAATATCACCTGCTATGTACTCTGGTCCAATTAAATTTCCCATTTGTAATACACAATTTTATACCTATAATTCTTTCTGTCATTTTACATTGCTTTAATATGAAAAGAAGTCTCTGCTTCACTTGAATTCCTTAGAGAGCCTGGCTTTTCTAAAAGCTTGTGTGTCCGTCCCTACATCCCTCCCACCTACACCAAATTTAAACCTTGACAGACTAATACATTGGATAGCAATCCAGGCAGTCTGCAAAAGACAGATGCCAAGGCCCAGGAGTCACGGGTAAGCTCACGTTTATCTTCCACACTGCAACGAATAGATAGGATGGAAGAGGTAGTCAGAAATTAGTAAGCCAAGATGAAAAACGCCAAAGTTAATTTAACAAATATAGAGAAGGAAAATTGGTCAAAGTCAGTTACAGGGCAAAAGACTTTCTTTCAAAAAAAAAAAAAAAAAAAAAAACCTCTAACAATATATGTGAAAAGGGCAAAGCTTAAAAAGCTGGACTATCTAAGAAACAAAATAATGTTCCTGGAGTAGCAAACAGAAGTCCTGTTTGCTCTTCTTGGGACAAATGCTCTTGCTTGTCCCAGATCACAGGTGAAAAAAGATACTTCCAGGCAGAATAACAATGGATAGCACTGGGAGTCTCAAGTTTGAGTTCCAGCTCTAAAGATACAGCAAGGCCGGGTGCGGTGGCTCGGGCCTGTAATCCCAGCATTCGGCCAAGGCAGGCGGATCACCTTAGGTCAGGAGTTTGAGACCAGCCTGGCCAACACGGTGAAACCCCATGTCTACTAAAACTACAAAAATTAGCAGGGCATTGTGGCACAAGCCTATAACCCCAGCTACCCGAGAAGCTGAGGCAGGAGAATCGCTTGAACCCAGGAGGTGAAGGTTGCAGAGAGCCAAGATTGTGCCACTGCACTCCAGCCTAGGCAACAGAGCAAGACTCTGCCAAAAAAAAAAAAAAGATACAGCAAGAAATCTTCAGTCTAAAATGTACCTATAAACTCATTTTTCACAGATTATGGAAATATTTTTGATTTTCAAGTTTTGATAACAAAACTAGAATGTGTTACAGTTTAATTCTGAGTCTGCATCGTTCTTGGTTTTTGATCATTATAGAAAATACAGAAAACACAGAATAAGGAAAAAAGAGAATGTGACATAGTACAACTTAAGAAAAAATAATTTGGGTGTTATTTCCTCACTATCAAAAACAATAATTAAATAATATATTTTTCATTAACCTAAAATGAAGAATTTAACACAATGATTTTCTCCCCCTCCTAGAAATATGCTCAATTAAAAATATCAGAATAGTGTGATATATATTATGTATGAAATATAATCCAACTAATACTGCAGCATGGTTAGTTTCCATATTACTAAATATGCCTCATGGTTGCATGTAGCTTCCCTTTACATTTATTTATAATTCATTTAACCACTCCCACACTCATTACTTTTTTTTTTTTTTGCTATTAAAAAAAAGTATAATTACTGCTTTCACCAAACAAGGATTGCTATGAATAATTTTTTCTTAATTTTAATTTTTCTTTTTTTATTGGCCTACTTAGGAATTCTACTATGAGTAATTTTTGACTCGATAAATATTTCTAAATTTGCTTGTCTCAAAATATAAATCAATTTACACAAAAACGGTAGTAATACAAGACTGCCTGTCTTAAACTCTCCCTAAGATTTGGGCATTAACATTTCTTGTTCATTTTTGTCAAATGGCATTTCACTATTTACCTTTCATTCTTCCAAATGAACACTAAAAAATTACCTGGAAAACTGCTTTCAAGAAACGTAGTCGAGAAAGACTGACACGTTATAATGCTCAGTCTTATCATCTACAAACATACTATGTCTTTCCAAGTAATCTTCTACATTTCTTAAAGCTCGTAGACTTCTTATTTTCCTGCACTGTTTGTGACCGCTAAATACTGTATTTTGCAAAACCTTTCAGTTTTTTTATATGCAAAATTCATGTTATTTTTCAAACAACCCTCTAATTTTTTTTAAACCAGAAGATTATTTTCTATGGTTTCATAGTCTACAAATTACTACTTTCAGATTATCAATTTCTGAGTATACTTTGTTTCTTTCAGTACATGTTATGGTTCTCTATTCTAGTTTTCTAAGTGGTTTTGATTTCTACTTTGGTCTAATAGAGTTTCTGTGCTCCCACGCATTGGGTGAGGTAGAACCAATGCTGTCTGTGTACAATCAAGAATTGATTTTGGTAAACGTTTCAAAGATAACTGAAAAAAAGGTATATTTCTTTTATAAAAGATATCAAGTTTATCCTATCAATTGTTTTTTATCTTAAATTATTTTTATATGACATTAATATAATCCCTCCTTTCTTTGAATTTCTCTGATTCACCTTTGCATATCCTTTTGCTTTAAATCATAACATTTTAGATCATTCTTTTTCCAGAGGGATGGGGGTAGGGAGTGCCGGTGTCATCACTGGAAAAGAGCTTACACCTGAGAGTACTGGAGTCATGTCTTCTTAACAGAGACACCTGCCAAGAAATTCATTGTTAGGTGATTTTGTCCTTGTGTCAACATCATAGACACACTAACGCAAACCTAGATGAGACAGTCTACTACACACCTGGGCTACATGATATTGCCTATTGCTCCTAGGCTACAAACCTGTACAGTATGTTCTTGTACTGAATACTATAGGCAGTTGTAATACAATGGTAGGTATTTATGTATCTACACTTATCTAAACATAGAAGAGGTACAATAAAAATACAGTATAAGGTTGGGCATGGTGGCTCATGCCTATGATTCCAATGCTTTGGGAGGCCAAGGTGGGGGAATTGCTTGAGGCCGGGAGTTTGAGACCAGACTGGGCAACATAGCAAGACCTCAACTCTAGAAAAACTTAAAAAATTAACCCAGCATGTTGGCAAACATCTGTAATCATAGCTACTCAGCAGGCTGAGGCAAGAGAATTGCTTGAGCCCAGGAGTTCGAGGCTACAGTGAGCCAAGATCACATCACTGCATTCCATCCTGGGTGACAGACTATGACTTTATCTCATGAAGGAAAAGAAAGTTATGAAAGATAAAAATGGTATACCTATGTAGAGCACTGACCATGAATGGAGCTTGCAGGACTACAAGTTGCTCTCCGTGAATGAGCGAGTGGCAGGTGAATGTGAAGGCCTAGAACACTCACTGTACTCTACTGTAGACTATCCACACTGCACGCTTAGGCTACACAGGCCTAGAACACTCACTGTTCTCTACTGTAGACTTTATCAACACCACACACTTAGGCTACACAGGCCTAGAACACTCACTGTTCTCTACTGCAGACTATCCACACTGTACGCTTAGGCTACACAGGCCTAGAACACTCACTGTACTCTACTGTAGACTTTATCAACACTGCACACTTAGGCTACACAGGCCTAGAACACTCACTGTACTGTAGACTTTATCAACACTACACACTTAGGCTACACAGGCCTAGAACACTCACTGTTCTCTACTGCAGACTATCCACACTGTATGCTTAGGCTACACAGGCCTAGAACACTCACTGTTCTCTACTGTAGACTTTATCAACACTGCACACTTAGGCTACACAGGCCTAGAACACTCACTGTACTCTACTGTAGACTTTATCAACACTACACACTTAGGCTACACAGGCCTAGAACACTCACTGTACTCTACTGTAGACTTTATCAACACTACACACTTAGGCTACACAGGCCTAGAACACTCACTGTTCTCTACTGCAGACTATCCACACTGTACGCTTAGGCTACACAGGCCTAGAACACTCACTGTACTCTACTGTAGACTTTATCAACACTGTACACTTAGGCTACACAGGCCTAGAACACTCACTGTACTCTACTGTAGACTTTATCAACACTACACACTTAGGCTACACAGGCCTAGAACACTCACTGTACTGTACTGTAGACTTTATCAACACTACACACTTATGCTACACAGGCCTAGAACACTCACTGTACTCTACTGTAGACTTTATCAACACTGTACGCTTAGGCTACACAGGCCTAGAACACTCACTGTACTCTACTGTAGACTTTATCAACACCGCACACTTAGGCTACACAGGCCTAGAACACTCACTGTACTCTACTGTAGACTTTATCAACACTACACACTTAGGCTACACAGGCCTAGAACACTCACTGTTCTCTACTGCAGACTATCCACACTGTACGCTTAGGCTACACAGGCCTAGAACACTCACTGTACTCTACTGTAGACTTCATCAACACTACACACTTAGGCTACACCGGCCTAGAACACTCACTGTACTCTACTGTAGACTTTATCAACACTACACACTTAGGCTACACAGGCCTAGAACACTCACTGTATTCTACTCTAGACTTTATCAACGCTGTACACTTAGGCTACACTACATTTATTAAAAATCTTTTTCTTTCTTCAGTAATAAATTAAGCTTAGCTTACTGTAACTTTTTACTTTATAAACTTTTTTTAACCTTTTGACTCTTGTAATAATACTTACCTTAAAACACTAACACATTGTTCAGCTGTATGAAAACATTTCCTTTTTTATAACCTTATTCTATAAGCTTTGAACTATTTTTAAATTTTTTTTACTTTTTAAACTTTTTGTTAAAAACGACGACACAAACACACACATTAGTCTATGCCTACACAGGGTCGGGGTCATGAATAGCACTGTCTTCCACCTCCATATCAGATCTCACTGGAAAGTATTCAGGGTCAATAAAGGCATGGAGCTGTCAGCTCTTATGATAACAATGCCTTCTCTGGAATACCTCCTAAAGGAACTACCTGAGGCTGTTTACAGTTAATTTTTTAATGCTTTTTTTTTCTGAGACAGGGTCTTGCTTTCCTGCCCTGGCTGAAGTGCAGTAGCGGGATCATAGCTCACATAAACCTCAAACTCCTGGGCTCAAGCTATCCTCCCACCTCGGCCTCCTGAGTACCCAGGACTACAGGTGCGTGTCACCACACCTGACTATTTTTTATTTTTATTTTTGCAGACACAGGGTCTCATTATGCTACTCAGATTGGTCTCAAACTCCTTATGTCAAGCAATCCTTCTACCTCAGGCTCCCAAAGGGCTGGGACTACAGGCATGAGCCACTGCATCTGGCCAACTTTATTTTTTTTAATAAGTAGAAGGAGTGTGCTCTAAGGATAAAAGTATAATATAGTAAATATATAAACGAGCAACACAGTCATTTCTTATCACTATCAAGTATTATATATGGCACAGAATTACATGTGCTACACTTTGATAGAACTGGCAGTACCGTAGGGTTTTTAATACCAGGTTCACCACAAACACGAGTAATGTGTTGTCTGTGGAGTTATGACAGGTGGTAGAAAGTTCCCCGCTCTATTATAATATTATGGGACCAGCATTGTATACACAGTCCATCCTTAACCAAAACATCATTATGCTGCCATGACAACATTTGTTTGGTTTTCTTGTTTGTTGTTTGTTTTTAAGACCAGGTCTGGCCCTGTCGCCCAGGTTGGAGTGCAGTGGCACAATTAAAGCCCACTGCAGCCTCTGCCTCCCAGGCTCAAGAAATTCTCCTACCTCAGCCTCTTGAGTAGCTGGGACTACAGGCACATGCCACCACGCCTGACTAATTTTTGTATTTTTAGTAGAGATGGGGTTTCACTATGTTGGCCAGGCTGGTCTCAAACTCCTGAGTTCAGGTGACCCTCCCGCCTTGGCCTCCCAAAATGCTGGAATTACAGGTACACACCGCTGCATGACTACATTTGTTTCTTAACAGTGGATCTATTCCAGGAGAGTGGAGTCTCAACAATTACTAATTATTAGTTATAATATATCTGCCTTTCTTCTTCACACTTTCATCTGGTAAGCACCTGATAAACTGAAATAACGTTTGCTCTGATCACCAGTCGATGAATCTCTGCTGCTTTTAGAAATATCTAAAATATTACAATACTTTCTAAGGTCATGAAAATCTTTTAGGTATTAATGAGAGTGTGGGTTACATGAATATGCATTTATCTATACTCAAATATCATCAAATTATATCCTTAAATATACACATTTTATCATTTATACAATACACCTCAAAGTTCAGAAATTATTGGGGGAAAAACTAAGTATAGCTCAAGGAGTAACTGCGCCTGTGCCCTATGTAGAAAACGCACTGGTGATACAGACAAACATTCATTTATTTACAAAATCGTATTTGAGTAGAAAATATTGTGTCATCGTATTTTGTAACATGGTAAATATCCCTTTATATTGCACCAAAAATTAGAGTCAGGCTTCAAGATGATTTTTACATACCTTATTATAATAAACTTAGTATTATCCAACTGATAGGAGATAAAACAAAAAGCACCACTGGGAGAGGTTTACAATTCAGGTAAAATAAATGCTTTGTTCTTTGAGATCTGGAGTAATAACTGTCTGCTTATTAAACAAAAAGGTTATTTTTTCCTATGCATAACCTTTACAGTACAGAAGTACTCCAGACTTGAAAATCCCTCTACCACCTGAGGATTAAAACACTTTAAATATTCAAATCTAACTTCTTAAGTTTGAACTATACTTTCCATCACAGATCTGGAAGTAGTCTGTGAACTATCGAGGAAGACAGGGCCATTCACAGGGTGGTCATTCACTCAATTTGGGGAAACAGAGTATCTTCTAATCTGTTAGGATTTTGCTGAATGACATTTGCTAGGGGAAAGTTTTAAACATTTATTGCCGACACTCCAGGAAAATAGAGGGTAATTTACTGGCATGTGTGATTGTCAAGTGGGAGAATATGTCAATCACCTAATTATCATTATTCATTAAGGAGGGCTTTCAAATACATTGTAAATGAAACATGTGTAAAGTAGCCATGAATTCCAAGTATATTATACTGTGCAGACACAGAATAAAAACTTTTTTCAAAATACATAATTTACTTGAAGGAGTTTCCTTTCTTAAATACATTCTCTATGAAAAGCAATTTGTACTGACTCAAGTTACCACATCTTCCATGGTCCTTTTAGAAGAGATATTTATTCAAAAGCAGAAAGATAATGGAAACCAAGTGTTTTACTCTAAGCTAATGTTACACAAAATCACTAAGATAATTTTTTATTTCGTTCCAGTACTCTCCTTTCCATTGAGTCCTCCAGGCCTCAACCCAAACCCCCTCACCAGTAACCACAAAATAATAATTCTTTTTTATCTGCTACTTAGTCTCAGAAACAAACTGTGGAGTCCCAAAATCAGGTCAGCTGACAAAATTAGCCTTCCTCAACTACACCCATAAGTACCAGTGGATCCAGGCCATTCCTACATCCATTCACCACTGTCCGGCTCTTAAGAAGGACTATATTTAGCTCTTCAGAGCCCTTGGCAGAAAGAGATAAACATTAAAAAACAAAACATTATTTTGAACTGAATTGATACCGTAACAAAAAAGTAACATTTGACTCTTTAAAACATTGGAAAACACTTACATGGTCTGACCCTCAGCAACACGAAAACATATTCGAAGCAATGAGATTAATGCTTATATAGGCTTTTGTTTGTTTTGAGACAAGGTCTTGCTGTGGCCCAGACTGGAATGCAGTGGCGCAAGATCACAGCTCACTGCAGCCTTGACCTCCCGGGCTCAGGCAACTCTCCTACCACAGCCTCCTGAGTAGCTGGGCCCACAGGTGCGTGCCAACATGCCTGGCAAATTACTGTATTTTTTGCAGAGACAGGGTTTTGCCATGTTGTCCAGGCTGGTCTGAAACTCCTGAGCTCAAGCAACCTGCTCACCTCGGCCTCCCAAAGTGTTGGGATTACAGATGTGAGCCACCACACCAGCCTATACTGGCCGTTTGTTAATGGCACTGGTAATATTGGCTCTTCCCCTTAGACGGCTCATGAGGCTAGCCACTCTTGAACTAAAAGAATGCACGTATAACATACAAACATAATGTCTGAATCCCCAAACTATAGACTTTAACCCAAATTGGTGAAACACAAAGGAAAAGGAAAAGAAACTTTAAATTGTTTTTAGGCCTGCTGTTTGGATATTACAGGAACCACTGTGATTTATATTTGGCCTGAGGGTATAAAGATCTATGATTTTATTTATGGCTTGGTTAAATCTTTTCAAAACACAAGAGCCACCTATTCATAATATTAAGAAATCAGGTGATTTAAACCTTACTACACTCTGCTAATATACTGTTCTCTTCAGTAGAAACATGTAGGAGTATGTTAGGGACAATCTCTCAATTATGAGCAAATTTACAACTTCAATGCTGTCTTCTTAAATTACATGCCATCACTTACAATCCAAACATCATTTAAGAGTTTATAAGTTTAAAAGGAGGACAAAACAAAAACCTTTAACAACTCATTATTATTTAAGCCAGAGTTGCACCAAGTTACCCCTTCAATTGTCTAAATAAATTCTAGACATGGCAGCCTACTGAATAAATAAAAGCAATTGATAATCCCACTCTATAGAAAAGCAAAAAAGCACAAACATAAAATCAAGAGACCACACCGAAGTAGCATCATGGAGAAGAATAAACATTTTCAGGACAGAAAATGTTTAAGAAGAACAGCAAAAAAGAACAAAGGTAGGTATATTAAATGAGCAAGGAAGGAGTGGAACTGTTGAAAGGTGGGGTCTAAAAAGGCTGTGACCTGCTTTCTAAGTAAAGCCTAGTCCAAAAATGTCTTGTGACCAGATCAATTTCCATTCCTTCTCGAAAGATGGAAGACATAAGCAAAACACATAGAGCTATGAGGACAGAGTGGATAATGATTAGTACATAGAAAAGTTGCTACTTCGAAGGATTCAGATATTAAGTAGAGCAATTAAAGAATTTCTCCAATGACATCAATCTCAACCAGACGGATGTTCTCAACATTTCGCCTAGCAACTCCCCCAGGCCATCCTTACAGCAGGCTTAGGGAGGTGCTACTCTCTTGGTTCCTGCTTTCAAAAAGGGTGCTGCCTCCATTTAGTGATGTTTATAAAAATGGCAGTGGTTTCCTATTTGAATGTTAATTATTGTTATGACACACAAGGTAATTTAACTTGCTTTGGTAATTTATTCACCCTTCTAATTAGATGTAGTTACTGGAAAATCTTCCAGAGTGTAGCAACAGTTCCAAAGGTGAAATGGCAGGAGGAGGGAGCTTTCCCATAGGATCGCAACTGTAAATCTGGGATGGATGTTCAATTGCCAGTCACCTGAATGAACAATGCCAGGGATCAGAGACGGTCCTTCTGGAATCAAGCAGGTGGCACCCATCACCTTCAAGAATTTGATGATTCAAGAGGAAGGTAAAGCCCCAAAAGATGGTTGGAGCTACTCTGAAAAGATTAAAGACTGAACTTGAATGAACCAAGGAACAATACCACACAACACCATTTTAAATCTCCTAGACCGGGAGTCATTTACATACAGTTGAGAAATGCCGTAGACAGAGTATAAGCCAAAAACACCACTGAAGTGGGAGAGGCTCCACTCGAGTTACTTGCTTTGTGGAAGTATTTTCACGCTTGCCACATCATACCTGCTCGATCAATATTTACTGAAACAAGCAAATGAATGAATGGACAAGTGCATGCATGGCTACAGCATAAAAACAGGCACACCCACTCCATCTCTCTCATTACGGCCTCCTCAGCAAGCAGACCTTTTTTCTTAATTTGAAGGTCCCCAAAGTGAGCGAGTTTCAATCAACAGAAATTTCTTTGTCTTTAATTAAACTGAGCTGCCACTGCTTCTTCTGTGAGGTCTAAGTGCCAGCCTGTAGCCATGTTCTACGCTAGCCAGAAGGGAAAGACTGAATCATATTTGTGACCAAAAAAAAAAACCCATTAGACTCCAATCAATGCAGAGCAGGTGGCTGATGACTGCAGCGATCCCTATGAGGAGCACGGATTGATACTGCCAAATGAACACATTAACTGAAACTACCCAGGCCTTAGGGGAATGGCCAGAGGCCCCTGTAGGGAACAGTTTAAGTCAAACTTTTCCTGCTTCCATTGTAGGATGGAGGATTCAAGGGCTCAGATTATATAAACAAGTTCAAGGCCATGCAAGAATGTATACAGAAATACTCAAACCTCTAACCCCAACAGGAAGAGGAAGAGGAGGAGGAGGAGAAGTAGCCAGCAGAACAAGTGGAAGAAACAGCTTCCAGTGAGGTCACTGCACCCAAAGAAGAGGAGCAGTCAAGCTAACGAAAGCCACATGGCACTGGGCTCCAGTCCTTCCACTTCAGAGTGATATGGACCTTCGCAAAAGGCCTTTCAATTGCCCTCCAAGAAAGCGTCTTTCCCTCTGTTGTCCTCTTCACTGTAATGCACAAAATAATTTATTTTGGTGATGAGGGGTCCTGATCTCTTGACATACAGACTGAAAAAATGGGGGTTGTATGTGTGTCCTACATATAAATCTGTCAGCAAATATTGCCACCACTGAATTCTATTTTCTCAGATTGCCCTCAATTTTGCCACTCTGAAATAATGTGCTGAATAATCTCAGCAACCAGAAATCATCATCCAGGAATGTTTCTTATGAGACAGCTGATTTATTCGGATTCACTAGATCCCTTTTAGTAGATTTAATCCCCCTTTGGGAAATGTAATAGCAAGAAAAACATCTTTTAAAAGTGCTGGAGTGAGGCCACTTCTCCTAGAAGAAGCCAGATGGTCAGATATATATTTCTCAAAACCCATCTTAACCTTGAGTATATGAAGGGATACTACATTTCATTCCTGATAAATTTTGGTTTCCATGTTGGCATTGAGCTCCAGGCTTTCTATGTGTTGATAGCGGAGATTTGGACCCTCCATCCACAGTCTCTTTCTAAGTGAAGGGGAAGATTGGTTTTTGCTGTTCCTTGTTATTCCAAAAGCTCTGGTCTGGGGCCCATGTTCACCCTGGCTCTCAGTCTGGTCAGATGCAATGTTCTTCAAAGGTGGGGACCTACTTGTTATCAGAGTAGCAGCCAAAAGAGGAAAAGGTGTGAATTAAGTACTCAGTTAAAAGGAAACATGAGACCAGGTGTGGTGGCTCATGCCAATAACCCCAGCACTTTGGGAGGTCAAGGCAGGAGGATCACTTGAGCCACAGAGTTCAAGACCACCCTGGGCAATATAGCAAGATCCCATATCTAATATATCTAATATAGATATATTAGAAAATATATATCTACATATAGTAGAAAAATATATATACACATATATTAGAAAATATATATACATATATGTATATTAGAAAACATAATCTCTCTCTATATATATGTGTATATATAAACTACTTATATATATATAAGTATATATATAAACTACTTATATATATAAGTATATATATAAACTACTTATATATATATAAGTATATATATAAACTACCTATTCTATCTTATACCTTCCACTCAAGGTCATGAAGATTTGATTTTGGAGACTGATGCAAATGTTTGCCACCTGATTTTAAAACTCAGGAGGGTTAGGCCGGGTGTGGTGGTTCATGCCTGTAATCCCAGCACTTTAGGAGGCCGAGGCAGGTGGATCATGAAGTCAGGAGATCAAGACCATCCTGGTTAACATGGTGAAACTCCATCTCTACTAAAAATACAAAAAAAGTTAGCTGGGAGTGGTGGTGGATGCCTGTAGTCCCAGCTACTTGAGAGGCTAACGCAGGAGAACAGCTTGAACCTGGGAGGCAGTGCTTGCAGTGAGCTGAGATCGCACCACCACACTCCAAGCCTGGGCAACAGAGCAAGACTCTGTCTCAAAAAAAAAAAAAAAAAAAAAAAAAAAAAAAAAAAAAACAACTCAGGAGGGCAGAAGAGAATGGGTAATCACTATACCTAGTTTCCAGCAAGAGATTCCTCCCTTTAGAAACACTCCCCAGAACTGACAGAAACAGAGAAAGAGGCGTAAGGAGCCATAAAGAGATGTGACGTGCTTTAAAAGCAACAAAATATCAGGGAGGAACATACTCTACTCTAATATGTCCATCATAGGGGTTCTATTTGTTTCCTACAGATAAAGTGATCATTTAACTATGAAAATTACTATCATTCATCTCTCCACATGCATTCCCATCCTTGAGAAGTGGTAGGAACCATGCGCCTCTGGGATGTGGAAACAAGTGCTCTTGTGAACAGAGGTTTCATTCCACTGAGAGAAATGGCCATGCAAAGCAGTGTCTCAAGAGAGCAAGGCAAATCAATGTCTCGCCTAGAGTATATTTTACAAATTTCTAATACAAATGATTGCACTGAAGGACAAAGGTTTTCCTGTACTCTTCCTCCATCCAACCTTCAAACAGATACACTAGTCTCAGCTCTAGTGGAAGTAGGAGGCATCCTTGACATTATACTCAGCTGTGATGTAAGGAATCTGTGTACTTACAAAACTAATGCAAAGCATTTCAGGCTGTCAGCTGACATCCCTGCCACTCCCCACAGCTGAGACTATTCAGTAATGGCAGTACATCTGACATCCTGTCTGACATCTAGAGGACTCAGGAAATTCAAAGAAAATACTATAAATTCTATCATTTCATGATTCACACTTCATGCAACCAAAGATCTCCTCTACACAAAAACACAGGAAATGTCAGAATACCCCATAGGTATGTGATTTTTCTTAACTTGTATGGTTTTATTTATAAGAAATAAATTCAGTTACTGAATTATGAAACAGACACATAGGGGTCCCCTTTGGGATCTAGTCCTTAAGATGCGTTCAAGAGGATGAAGGATGTCCATCTCTGAGATATATTAGTACTTCTACAACCCGTGTGCCAAGCACCAGTGGGCTAACATATCCTCCAGATACATAGACACAACTTAAAGCAGAGAAGCCAGGTAGAGAGATTTGAAAAATGAATTCTAACACTAGCATACTAAATTCCCAAATAAATTGTTTAATTACATTGTACCTACATTTCCCCAATGATCACGTAGAGATAATTACCTTTGCTTATTTCACAGGGGGCATTTGTAATAATAAAAAGAATTATTTGAAATCTTCAAAGAAAGAGCACTATTTTAACCTACTTATATAAGGAACAGAAAGAGAAAATTGAGTTAACAGTCTTAAATTCTGCCAAATTAATCTAATTTTTAAAAAGAGAGACCAAGTAAAACCTCACCACTGTTGTTCTCATCGTAACTGAAATCCAGCACATTAAAGAGAGAGAGAAAGAGATCAACTTTTAAAACTTGTAAAACTCCATCCCTGGTGGCCACAAACACTCTTATCAGTTCCCCACTGAAAACCCCTCCTCGCCATCTCCCTTCCTTCCCCTTTCTCCTATTACCTCAGCCTTCACTCCACTTAATCTTCCCATCTCTCGACTTCTCTATCACCTCTTCCTCCCTGATAGTTATGACCTCACTCCCACTGTCACACATAGAACTGATCCAAAGGGGACCTAAGAATTATTCTAACCAATCTCCCACACAGTAAAAAGGACAACTGGAGACTGAAGTGATAACGTCACAGGCTCAGGGTCAGGTAGCCACTTTCATGCAAAGCTGGGTCCTCACCTAGATATATGACTCCCAGTACAGTACTCTTTCCAGTACCCCACACAACAGTCTACCTGGACCTGTTCACCAGCCTTATCCAAGAGATCCATTTCTGAAACAGTTAGGTGCACTTTGTTGTTCTTCCACCATATAAAGCACTTTGAGTCACAATTAGAAAAATAAAACTGATGACAGCAATCAGATTAGAATCCTGTATCTGGAAGACACCTTTACCCATAATCCATCTTATCCAGGAAGTAAGACTCAGGAGGCCATTTCCACAATGCCTCTCCTCCCCAGACACTCATTCCTATGTTCAACATCACTTCCATTGCTCAAACCTAAATCCTTCCTAATGATGATACTGAAGCAAAATCACAATACCAGGTTTTCCAGACCCGGCTGAGAAGACACTAACTGAGCCCCTAAGTACAAATGAGCATACTTAACATAGAGAAGACACAGTTAGCACATTGCTAAATTTCTCCACACCCTTATTTTTAGCAGATTAAATAATTGTAACCCCTTTAACTTTATCTTCTAAGTCTATTTTTGGCTTTTATCTAAGGCCCCTTTAAATTCTCCATGTTGCTTTTGGAAAGCTAGAGTCCAGAACCAAGGACAGGTAGCTAAAGTGTTTCACATAAGAGAAACTCCATCAACAAAAGTATTGCGAAGTCTGTACAAGCCCAGGGCAATCAATGAAATCTGCATGTAAACGAGGCAGTTTTCCAGACAATACTTTTCAATTAGACTAACTTACAAACTTGAGGAATAACGAGAAACTACAAAGAAAACATCAACTGCGTCTTCAAAGCATTTTCAAGCACAAACCCTAATACAGTTTACTGGATGCCATTTAATTGGGCAGCTCTAAGCATGTAGCTAAATACAAGAAGGTTGGCATAAGAGATAAAAAAGCAAACAATGTCCAAGCTACATCACTTAAATACTGTCAGAACAAGGTTAAGAAGAAGCAAGGTGAGAAATCAGGGAAAATGCAAATAAGAATTCCATTTCCTACAAGATAAAGAAAGATAAATAAAAATCCTGACTAGCTAGGGGAGTATGTCCAGCACCAAAAAAAAAAAGTAATTATTTCATGTGTGGTCCTGATATAAAGTCTTGAAAATAATAAGGCTGCTAAATTGCAAATATCAGGGAAGTGAAGTAGTAGCTCAAAAGATTATGAAAATTGAGATTTCCAAACTGAATTTGAAAAGGAAACAGGTAAAATGAGGTCAGGACATTACAGATGAGAAAGAAGCTTCTACTATTTGGCTGGCTGTTTTAAATTAATAACCTGGAACATTAGCAGGTTTAAAGTCCTATAAAAATGACACGGAGGGAGAAGTAAATGCGGTAGAAACAGCAGTGTTTACACCTTCATCATAGAAAGGTATTACTAAAAGGATTTACAAGGTGGTAACAGGATACATATCAAAGTCAAAGCGCTTTAATAAATGATGAGAAAAGACATTAGGCATGGAAGTAAAGCCGAAGGGCTTGAAATAACTCCACCTATCCACGTCCCAGATTATTTTAAACCAAGTAAGCCACTCCAAGATCCACAAAAGATCAGGTTGTATTTTTCCCTAAGTGGCAGTATTCCCA